>NC_000011.10:101717879-102020909 GCF_000001405.40 Homo sapiens
ACAGATGAGGGAGCAAGCAATTCATCCTGCCTAGACCAGTCAGGGAAAGCTGCTGAAGAGAGGGGACTTTAGAGTTTGTTTATTCTTGGATTCATTAATTAGGCCAAAATCATTCCAGCCTGAGGAAAGAAGATGAGCTAAAGCAGAATGAAATGAAATTGTATCCTGTGTTTGGGAAACTGTCTAATGTGTTTAAAGTCTAATGTGTTTTAGGAAAAAATAATAGGAAATAAGTCAGAAAGGTAGGCAGGAGATAGACAATAAAGAGCGTTTCCTGAACATGCAAATAGATGTGGACACTGTTCTGTGCCACTGCTGTACAAACTTGCATCAGAGGATGGACTTCAGGATATAAGCTAAATTATAATCTTTAAGTGGTTGGAGATTATTACCAGTAATAATTAGACAATAAAAGTGTTCATTTCTTAGTCATATATGTACCTATTTATGAGTTAATGTTAAGTGAGTAATAAAAGCCTTCTGTACAAAGCTCAAACTAATAAAGCATAGTGGAACTAAATTTGGACTCTGAAAATTTAGAGCCAAGGTTGCTAATTACTATATGAATAACCATGAGCAAGTGATTTACAGTCCCTGAACTTCACTCCTCACGTATACAGTACAGACATATTGTCTGTTCTTTCTATCTCACAGGATCGTTGCAACAGTCTAATGTAGTTGTACTCATGAAAGGGTTTTGCAAAACACTTGTGATGTATTGCTATTGTGAGGCAAAATTTCCATTTAACGTCTTCAGTAGATGAGTCATAATAGCGAAAGAACATGACATGCATAAAAATGCAAACACACACTCAAATACTTACACATAGAATTTCACATATTTCACAAATATCACAAACAAGAAGAACTCTGCTCAGTGGACACAAAATTTTGAAAAAGTTCATGCTAGATCCTTGTACTGTACCTGGTACATGGTAACAGCTAATAAATATTTGTGGATACATGAATAAGTGAATTCATGTTGCAACTATTTTAGGACATGATTTTATTAAGTCTCCAAAACTAAGGAGGAAATCCAATAGCTAAGCCACCAAGAAACACCTTCAAATGTTGAAGATGTTCCCCAACGTAACCTCCAGGGAAAGACTTCAGTCTACTACCCCTCTGCACCTGGGACTCCTGTACCTACTTGCGCTTCTGACAGGCCTCATATTATTCAGTCTTTTATCCCACCATCTTTTAGGGAGTAACCTACCCTGTGGCAGCAACCGTCCTAGCTACGGGGAAAGTACTTGCTCTCATTATAAGGTACTTGCTCTCATTATAGTCTCATTACAGTCTAGTTGGGAATGCAGACAAGTAAACAAAGGACCATAGTAAAGTCTACCATGTAGACCAGTCACTATGTAGTCCATACCCTTTGGACATGCTTCAGGTGACTTACAGCTGCCTAACCCTAACCCCTAGGCATAATCTGCATCTCTGGGCCTGATTGCTTTACTCTGACCCACACAAGTCTGCTCTGCCCAAAGAACAGTAATCCCCTCAAATCTGAGAAGCAGCACCTTCCAGACACTCTTAATTTATACACAAGTGCTGGTATATAAATATTTCAGCTCCCTCCCACCTTGGGTAGTTTAATTCTGAGTTGCGTGTTTCATGCCAATTCCTAAAAGTTTTCTGGTAGGATTTAAGATCAACTGTCCCACTGTGGTTAATCATACACCCTTTTGTGTCTGATTTCTCTTCCTTGTGTCACTGCCCCTCTCCCTGCCAGTGTTCCACGCACATCCCAAATAAACTACTTATACTTGAATCCTTGTCTCAGGGGTTTGCTTTTGGGAAAGTACACGTGAAAAAAAGAAGTCCCTAAAATGGAAGCATGCACAAGGCATCACAGATGAAAATGAAATTGTCTAAATAAAAGACATAATTATCAAGGAAGACTTCTTAAAGAAGGTAACATGGGCCGGGCGCGGTGGCTCACGCCTGTAATCCCAGCACTTCGGGAGGCCGAGGCGGGCGGATCACGAGGTCAGGAGATCGAGACCATCCCGGCTAAAAAACGGTGAAACCCCGTCTCTACTAAAAATACAAAAAAAAAAATTAGCCGGGCGTAGTGGCGGGCGCCTGTAGTCCCAGCTACTTGGGAGGCTGAGGCAGGAGAATGGCGTGAACCCGGGAGGCGGAGCTTGCAGTGAGCCGAGATCCCGCCACTGCACTCCAGCCTGGGCGACAGAGCGAGACTCCGTCTCAAAAAAAAAAAAAAAAAAAAAAAGAAGGTAACATGAGCAAGCCTTGAAGACATTGGCCTGGCAGAGAATGTGGGTTGAGTGCACCCAGGTAGACCAGAAAGCACATGAGAAGGTATTAAATTATGAAACAGCATGTTGTATTTGGAGAACTAAAAGTTGCTTCTGTGACTAGAGGGAAGTGTGACTGTCCTTGATGAAATGGCAGACAATGAAGCTAGAGAGGTAGACAGAGGCCACCTCATGAATTATCTTGTGGGCTAAGCCCAGGAGTCTGGGTTTTATCTTGAAATACAAGAAAGGCAGAGACACGGAAGGATTTGTAAGGATAGGAGTCACACAATTGAATTTGTATTTGAGAAAGATTACTTTGGCAGCCATGTAGAAGTGAGATTAGAAGAAAAACACGTGGAAGCAGGAAAACCAAGAGAATACTTTCAAGAATTCTCATGAAAGAAATTGATGAGAAAGTTGAAAATATGGGATTTGGTGAAAGTGTGACGTAAGTTTCAATCCTGGTTTCATCGGATAACAGCTATATGACCTTGGGAGAATTATTTTACTTAATTGAGCCTTAGTTTATTCCTAGGTAGCATTAGAATGATATTACTTTCCTTCAGTGTTTTAAGAAGACTAAATAAGAATGTATGTGAGAAGTCTAGCACAGTTCCTGGCAAACCACAGCTCTCATTTGCTGAGAACCATTATTATTAAGGCACTGAGATTGATGCTGAAGAACACTGAACAACTATGAGAGATTCCTGATAGCATTTACCAATTAAATGAATATGGATTGTGAGTTCAAGATGACTCACAATTTGCAGGTTTTTGTTTTGGGTGATGGAACGAGTGGTGGGATAATTCGGCAAGGTAGAAGAGAGCTAGGTTTTGAACATATATTACCTCGGTTACTCAGGTGAACAGAAGATAAACAGATATTGAGCAAAAAAGAGGGGCCAGAGCTGGGGATATTGACTCAAGAGTCATCAGTGCTCTGGTGGCTAGTGAAGTCCTACATGTGGAGGAGTCAGGGCTGGGGAAGAGGGAGGCTTGGAGAATATGACCTTTAGAAGGTGAAAGAAGAAAGAGCAGCTTGAAATACAGGCCCCCGCTGTCGACTCTTGCCCTGGAAAATGTAATACCTATTCAGTTGGAGAAAAGTTCCGCAGTTTCACATGTGAGGGAGGGACAAGACATCAGATTTGAACTTCACCTAAAGAAAAAGGAGACAGGAGCTCAGATCTGAAAGAAGCTGTTTGGATAGAAACACTTATTTGTCTGACTCTCTATAACATGAATCATAACCCAAATCGGGTCAACAGAACAGGCCATGTTCCAGACAGGAAAACAAATAGTGCTAGGAAGCACTCCACATTAATTCAGTTCCCTCGTTCTTCACTGGGCGCTGCAGGCAGGCAGGCACATGTTCGCTCTATGAAAGGACTTTCTAAAGGTATGATTCATTAAGAGTGGATGGACTGCCTTTGAAGTTACTGGGCCCTTAGTCCTCAGAAAAATTAGTTAGAAACTGATTTTTTTCTCAGAGCGGTTTGTGAAGGTGCTGTGTTCACTAATTAGGAGTGAGATTATAAGAATGCAAGATACCTTAAAATCTTTTCTATTGGAATAAATTTGCAACCTCATGGAATAATTTATTTCAATAACTCCAAATTAATCTTTCTTAATGACCTTGAAAATGTTGGCTTAATGTTACTGTAGCCCAGTGACTTTTCAAGGGAATGATGCTTCCTCCTAGTGGGGGGCATTTTGGAAACATGTACGAGTGTTTCTGCATGTCACAAAGGTTGGAAAGACACTATTGGTTTTTAGTGATCAGGTGCAATGGATGTGAGAAGTCTCTGAAAAATAATTCAAGTGATTACAAAATGTGTTAAATCATATGATTTTGTATAAAAACTTGTCATACCAGCTTCAAAAGAGATTAGTGCAATAATGAAAAAATTTCAATAAATTATCTTTTCTATGCCATTGAACAATGGTGAAATTTCAAGAAAAATAAATGATTTGGTAAAAGTTGCCAAAAGCAACTGAAAATGAGTTGCAATCAACTGAGTTTTCATTTCAATAGGATGAACATGTTCTGTGGAATAACAGTCTTACTATACACATATGTTGATTCTTTCCAGTGAAATGAAGAAGTTACTGAGATAATGCTATTTTCAAAATTACTGGAAATGAATACAAAAGAGTCATCAAAAATTAGATGCTTGAAACCACTATAATTGCTTCAGAGAAAAAAATCTTTTTCTAATGCCTTTACATTAGAAAACCTTGGAATGTCATCAACATTTAGCAATGTGCATGTATAGTCAACTTTTTTAAAGTAGCACTAAGTTCTTTAGAAATTCATCATATTGTTCTTTGGCCACATTTGGTCACCAAGTATCTTGGTAGAAAGCTCCACAAATCACTGAGTGCTGTTCAGTGCTATTAATACAATTAAGAGTTATCTCCGAAACTATGCAATAACAATGAAGAAGAGTTTGAATGTTCCATCCTAAACAGAGAAGATGATGGCTTTTTAAAGGAAACTATTTAAAAATATTTTGTTTGCCATTTGATACTATTAAGTTTTCATTCAAACAGTGAAAAATTAAATATTAAAAATTGAAATAGTATGACATGATATACACCTTTCATATATATTTGAAAAGCTAATAAGGGTCTTATTAAGATGCAAAGATCAAATCAATATCAAAAAGTGATGAGAATTATTATGAGACTTAAGCATAGACATTATTACTTTGGACAGAGAGCATTTTCGAGTTTCTATTTTTACAGCAGCTAGATAAGAATACCTTTAAAGAAACATATTTGAAAATATATTGCTCTTGCAATGGACTGCATGTTTGTGTTCCTCCACAACTCATATGAAATCTTAACTCCCAATGTGATAGTATTAGCAAGGGGAGCCTTTGGGAGGTGATTAGGCCATGAGCATGGAACCCTCATGAATGGGATTAGTACCCTTATAAGAAGCACCCCAGAGAATTCTCATACTCTTTTTCTACCATGTGAGGACATGAACAGAAGAGAGCAGTCTGCAATCCAGAAGAAGACCCTCACCAAATTCTGCTGTGCTGGCACTCCGATCTCTTCCACCCTCCAGGACTGTGAGTAATACATTTCTATTGTTTATAAGCCCCTCAATCTGTGGTACTTCATTATAGCAGCCTGAAGGGACTAAGGCAGCTCTCACATGGATGTTTTTATGAAAGATCATTATTTACTCTGTCACCTAATGACAGATATAGTCTCTCCTACTATATAGGGACCCAGCCAGTATAAATATATGCACATTCAAATTGAGTGATATAAGGAATATCCAATAAATAAATAATTTTCTAAGACATCATTAGGGAGTAGAGAAACCACAAATGGTGATGTATACACTGACACTAATAAAACTAGGGCACCGGATAACTAACTCCACAATCATTGTAGTCATATTTGTTGACTTAGTGACTAAATTCTACAGACAACTGACAGCCAATGACTTGCCCACCAACCCATGCCAACACCAAGGACCACTGAAGTAAGCTTGGTATCACCACATAACATGTCTTACTTGTGCCTTATTTCTCCCAATCAGGAAGATTTTCCCTGCTCCTTAATTATATGAGCAATCCACTCCCACTTTGAGAGTTTCTTTCATGGAGCCATTGTGAATACCGAGTACTATATTACTCAGCGCTCCAGTGAGAAATAAATGGCACACTCAGATTGGGTGACTTAAGGAGAATTTAGAGGGACTGTTTGTAAAGGTTTAGGCAAGAGGCAAGAGGGAGAGAATACTAAGAAACTTGCATCCAAGGCCTGAAGTGGGTGGAGTAAAAGAAGGCTGAGCTCACTTACCAGACTAGCAAATATCCATCGGTTTCCACTTTAAAATCTGTAATTAGTTTCTACCTATTATTTCCTTTTATCTTTTTTCTTATGTATAAATAAATCTGGCCAAGTATTAACTCTAGTTTTTAACCTTCTTTTGTATCTATAGTCTTCAATTTTCCCACTTTGGTATATTCTCTGATCATTTTATTCCCTTAAATTCACATTTATATTTTATAAATAGGTGAAAGCATCTGACTACTTCATTATAATTTCGATCTGCCTAAATATTGAAATTGGTATTTTTTTAAATAGATATTTTTAATATATAATTATATATGTATATAATTTTCATTTGGGGGCTAAAGGCTTATCCATTATAAGAGATATCATTGGTCTGACAGTGTTGAGATTCATTGTTATGATCTCATTAGTCAGGTACAATATGGCTACAAAATTGAGATGATTATGAAAATGTAGACATTTTTCAATTATGGGGAAAATAGTCTAGGTAGTGGTGTATTTATTAAATTTTCCTAGTATGGACATTCATTTCTTCTATTCTTGGACTTTTTATTAGTCTACATTCAATTGAAATGAACAATTGTGTTGAATAGACCTTTGAAAGCCAACAAATTAAGAAACTCTTAGGACTAAGAACAGAGTTTAACAGCTCTAAAATTTAGTGAATCAGAATGTAATAGTAAAGGAAGATTGTCTTTACAATAATGACAGAAATATAAATACCAAGAAATAAATTTTAAAAGAAATATGCATCACCTATATCACAGAAACCGCGGAACTTAATGGAGGGACCTAAAACAGAACCTGAAGAGATGAAAAGTTGAAATGTGTTCCTTAATGACAAGTCTCAGTGTAATATACCTGACAATATATTATGTCCTATCAAACTCACTTATAAGAATAATACAAATCAATTACTACTTTAAGTACAGAGCTGGGAAAACCATATAAAAAATCACACACATACACAGAATCGGAAGTTTCTTTAAAACATAAAAATAAGGAAAACAAATTGCACTGCTAGATATTTATCACTGATACTTTTAGATACTATATGCCATTTTCTATAATTAGTAGAGGCTGACTATAAAGTTCATGTTTGTATTCACTCTGGTCTACAACTGCTCCTTTAAAAGTGGAGAAGAGGCTTAGAAATAATTAAACATACAACAATAGGCAATTATGTAAATAATTTTAGTAAATTTACAAGATGAAATCCTGTGAATCACTGAAAATGTACATTTTGAAAGAATATTTAATATGGGAAATATAGCGTAAATCAATGATAAAAAGTACAAATAGTAAACTATATGTCCAACATGATCCTATCTATAAATAAAAATATATATGACCACAAAAGACTAGAAGGTACCGTATTAAATTATTAATAGTAATGTTATCTCAAAGTAGATTTACTTTTTTTGTTTAATCTTTTTGAAAACTTATTTTTCCCATCAGAAAAACTTTAAACCTATTTTAATCATTATGTGGGCGCTGTAATTATGTTGAGTAAAAGCCCTCTTAACGCGCCCTCCATTTCTTCTCTAAACCTCTTCTGATTCCCGTCCATGCTGAGGGCTTGCAGTTAGGATGATGCTCTCCAAGTCATTCCAGCACTAATGCTCCAACAGTTAAATCATGTTTATCAAGGGCCTATTATTGTTTCCCAAGCCTGTTTATGCCAGCTACACTTATTATTGTTATTCTGTAATTTAATTAACTAGCATGAAAATAGATGGAATAGGAGCAGGGAAACAGATGTTGTTTCTAAGAACCAAGTTAAAGATTAGAAAAGACTCCATAAAGTCCAGTCAGTTAAAAAGAAAGAAAGAGAGAGATAGGAGACAGACACAGAAAGACAAAGATAGTGAGAAGAATGAGAGAGTAGGGAGGAGAGGGGAGGAAGAGAAGGAGAGGAAGTATAAGAGGAAGAGGAGGAAAAAGAAGAGAGAGGAAAGGGAGGGAAATAGGAAGAGGGGAGGCAAGGAGGGAGGGAAAGAAAGAGAGAGACAAAGAGGAAAAGAAGGAAGAGAATAAGGAGGAAGGGAGGGAGGGAGGGAGGAAGGATTGCCTATATGTTTGCTGGACTAAAAATTATTTAAATTGGAAGAAATGATAAAAATCTAGAAAGATTCAGGACTCAAATTACTTTGCAAGTGTATTTAAGTTCCCTAATAACCTAAAGAAATTGATGCTAGAATAGTAAATGCTGTACTGTCAGTGTGATTTATGAAAAAAAAAAAAAAAAAAAAGCATAGGTAACCTAATCAATGGGCACACACCAAAAGATATGACCTGGATCCTACACCAAAAGATGGCGAAAAATGTCTATTTAGGGTTTTAATTTAAAACAAAATATTTAAAATCTGTGAGTAGTTTTTTCTCTGAGTCCCCTAATCAAACTTTTCATTTAATCGTCTACCAATACTGAAAGAGTAATAGGACCGTGATCATGCTGTGGTATTGTTAGAGTTTTAGATTTGATCTGCATTGCGGCAGAGTAGAAAGAACACAGGATGGGGGTCTTGTGATCTAAATTATAATACTCAGTTGCTAACTAGCTATGGACTTCTGCACAAGTCTCTTAACCTCTCCACTTTAATTTCCTTATTTGTAAATAAGAACATTTGGCTAGAAAATTGGCTCAAAAGTCATTTGTACTTTTCATAACAATCTCTTATTTGTGAATAAACATTTATAAAGTAACCACTAAGCTTACAACAGTAGAAAACGGCCCTTTTTTGGAGAACATAGGGAAAAAATGGCGTATAAATTTAGCTCTATCTAAATTTTTTTCCAGAGAAGAAAGGCAGAAAATCACTCTTATAAACTTGAAAAAATATAAATTTATATATTTAGTATTTAAAATCATTGTTAAGATTTTGAGAAACTATCAAGTTAAATCTGGTCTGCAACTATTTTATTGTTAAAGAACTTAACACAACTGAACTACAAGTCTAGATCTATTATCCTGGTAAAAGCCTGGTCTCCTGGAAAAGTTACCTAATCATAACTTGCCAAGAAAACATCTCTTTTGTCATTTACTCCCTACCCAACCCTATCCGAGGGCATGAATTAAACCAGTAATATTCTGAACAATTGAAGAGTAGGCAGAAACATGTTCCATAAATTAACAGTTAATAGTTATAATCTTGGCAAGGAAACTGCAATGCCTGTAGTGACCTCTCTGTTCACAGGCCCACTGGCCACAAATTGTCCAGAGAACTGCAATTAAAATTCCTGGTTTGTTTTTAAGGCCTCTACATCCTGCTGAATTGCATATTCACAAACAGATCACAAACAGAAGATTTCAAACATTCACCCTAAATTAGTTCCTATGTCCTAGGGGAAAAAATGCCCCAAATATCTCAATAACCAAATTGTGTTTTATATAAAAATCCAATAAAAAGGAAGTCACTCAACCAGCTGATTACTAACTCTATTCAGAGCTAAGTTTAGCCTTTAAACTGAAAGGGCAAAGAAAAACACGTTGCAAGTAAAATCAGTTCCATTTTCAGTAAGTTCAGCTTATCCAAATCCTTAAGATAAAAACCAATAAAAATATGACAAAGAGGCAGAAACGACATATATTTCATTTTAATACTTAACTTTTTGATTCTCATATAACATCTTTCGTACTCTGTATTTTGAGAGATGACAGCCACAAGGGAAATGACCTAGGAACCTAAAGTGAGGATTTGAGCCAAGTTCCTTATTTTTTGGATGTGTTACTTTGAATAAATCACTTAACCTATCAGAATTCTAAGAAAACTGGGATTATAGTACATATTTCACATGTATTATGGCATGATTCAAGGAATCATATGAAAAATATGTGTTTTGTAAACTCTAAATTCTGTAAATTATTTTTGTGCTTCAACTTAAGAATTCCACTATGCATATTGCTTATATTCTTTACAAGAGTATAACTTTCATAGTATCTTACACATCTTCGTATCTTTCAGAAAAGAAACTTCATTTCTTTAGGTATTCATGTGCTTATTTATTAACATCATGAATACTATGAATCTGCTGTTTCAGAGAAGAACTGGAACATCAACAATTACTGCACTATAATCTGAGCATTTTGGTAGGCCAAGGTGTGAGGATTGTTTGAGGCCAGGAGTTCAAGACCAGCCTGGGCAACATAGTGAGACCCCATTTCTACAAAAAATTAAAATATAGCTGGGCATGGTGGGGCACACCTGTAATCCCAGCTACTCGGAAGGCTGAGGTTGAAGGGACCACTTGAACCCAGGAGTTTGAGGTTACAGTGAGCTAGGATCATGCCACTGCACTCCAGCCTGAGCGATAGAGTAAGATCCTGTCTTAAAAAAAAAAAAAGGCAATTATTACATCTGTGCATCTGCCATCTGCCTCCTCCCCATCTCATCTGAGCATCTCACCATTTCATCATCCCCTGCTGCTCCCTTCTCAAGCTTTTTTTTAATTCTTAATATCATTTTATCATGTATATATTTCTTAGAAATATATTGTTCAAGTTGGTTTTAATTTCTTTAAAAAAAAACATGATTATAACAAAAAAATTAGCCAGGCATGGTGATGTGCACCTGTAATCCCAGCTACTCGGGAGGCTGAGGCAGGGGAATTGCTTGAACCAGGAAGATGGAGGTTGCAGTGAACCAAGATCATGCCACTGCACTCCAGCCTGAGTGACAGAGCAAGACTCCTTCAAAAAAAAAAATTATTATATCACAACCAGCTGTAAATAGGAAGTAGGGCTCTACTTGAATCAGCATGATACTCAAGGGTACTGTGGAAAGTCAAGAGACTTGGGATAATCCCAGTTCTTGAGACTGAAAAAAATATATTTCAACTATGCTTTGTGAAACAATGAACAGCTTACTAATTTAATGAAAGTATATTCTACTACATGCAATCTTCTGACACTTGCTCAGAGAGCTACAGGACTGATTTTGAAGCTGTGGTAATTAAAATAGCATAGGAAGAGCAAAATTGACCAATAGTGGAATAGCGAGCTACAGCAGACCTATGTAAAAATAAATTTTAGCTTCTTCATTTATAAAATAAGTGTTTTAACTGGGTAATCTCTGAGCTCCCAACAGATGAAGTAATCAGCCTAAGGTTAAACACATACTGAAACGCCCATTTATGAGATTCACGCTTTGCATTTGCCATAATTTTTATCATAAAAATATATGTGATTTCCAAGGTCTATTTTGTTGTGGCAGAGGTTATTTTAACATCTGTATTGAGATGCAATTTATATATCATGCAATTCACCCATTGCAAATTTAGAGTTCAATCATTTTTAGTAAATTCATAGAATTGTGCAATCTTGTACCTCAATGCACTTTAGAACATTTCATCACACATCCCCATAAAGGTTCCCTTGGGCTTGTTTGCAGTTAATCCCCATTGCCACTCTTAGGTAACCATTGATTTGATTTCTATCTCTATAGATGTGAATTTTCTAGAAATACCATATAAATGGAATCACAGTACATAGACTTTTGTGTCTGGCTTTTTCACATAGCATAATATTTTTGAGGTTTTTCCATGTGGTAGCATTTATCAGTAGTGTGATCTTTTTTATTTCTAAGTTACATGCCACTGCATAGATGTAACATATTCTATTCACCAGTTGATAGACATTGGGTGTTTCCAGTTTGGAGCTTGGAGGAATCATGTGCTATTAACATAGTATATGAGTCTTTGGAGGGACTTATGTTTTTATTTCTTTTGTGCAGATACCTTGGAGTGGAATTCCTAAGTTATATGGTAAACTTATGTTTAACATTTTAAAGAAACTGCCAACTGTTTCCAAACATGGCTGCACAATTACATTTTCCCAGTATTGTATAAAGGGTTCCAGTTGTCAGTTGTGTTCATTTTAAGTGTAGCCACTGTAGTTGATATGAAGATGTACTTCATTATGGTCTTAATTTACATTTCTCCAATGACTAACGATGTTAAGCATCTTCTGAGTTTGTTAGTCATATCTCCTTTGTAAAATGTCTGTTCACATTTTTTGCCTACTAAAACAAAACTTATTTAATTGGGTCGCTTGTCTTTTTATTCAATTGTAAAAGTTCTTTATATATTATGGGTACAAGTATCAGTTATATCATTTGCAAATATATTCACCCAGTTTTTGGCTTTTCTGTTTTTAATGTTCTTAATGGTGTCTTTTAAAGAGCAAAAGGTTTTCGTTTGGATGAGATACAATTTATCAATTGCTTGCTATTATGAATCATGCTTTTGGTGTCATATCGAAGAAATCTTTGCTTATTCCAAGATCACAAAGATCTTCTCCTATGTTTTCTTGTGGAGTTTTTATTGTTTTCACTTTCACATTTGAGTCTATAATCAATTTTGAGTTATTTTTGTATATGATGTGAGGAAAGGTGCTAAGTTTTTTTTAACACGTGAATACCCAATTCTTTAAGTACAGTTTTTTGAAAAGATTATTATATCTCCATTGAATTTCCTTGGCAACTTTGTTGAAAATCAATTGGCCATAAATGTAAATGCTGATTTCTGGACTTTGTATTCCATTCTATTGACATAAAGGTGTAACCTGATGCCCATACCACATGTCTTGATGTCTGTAGTTGTATACAGTAAGTCTTCCAACTCTTCGTTTCCATATTGTTTTAGCTAATCTAGTTCTTCGAATTTTCATATAAATTTTAAAATCCACTTGTAAATTTCTACCAAAAATAAATAAATAATCCTACTAGGATTTTGATAAGGATTGTGTCAAATCTACAGATCAATTTCAAAGACTTGCCATATTCAAAATATATCTTTCAATCCATTAACATGAAATGTCTCTATTTATTTAACTCTTCCCTAATTCCTCCCAGCCATATTTTGTAGTTTTCAGTATAGAGGTCTTCCCTTTCTTCTGTTATATTTATTCATAAGTATTTTATTCTTTTTGATGCTATTGTGCATAAAATTTTTTTCTTAATTTCTTTTTGAGATTTTTTCATTGCCAGCATATAGAAATGCAATTTTTCTTTGTATATTTATCTTGCATCCTCAGTCTGTTTTGATGCATTACATGGTTCTATTTAATTTATATTTTATCTCATTATTTTTGTATTTATTTTGCTGCCAGTTTTTGCCACAGATTTGTCATATAACCACACTTTGTTTTATTAGAACTAAGTTAATGGACTTCCATACAATCATACAATATTTTAATATATTATGCTTTTAGACAAATGTATGCTTCTTAGTGGCTTTCTCCTTGCTTTCTCCAAGAAGTTCACTTGAAATTATGTGGAAAAAACATAAAAGTGTATTCCTGTTCTTTGACATTAGATATCATTATAAAACTTAAATATATACCTGCCGTATTGTCAAAGCACACTGTGTTCTAATTTAATATAGTATGCATTTGTTCTGATAACCTATTTGTTTTTCTCTAGTGTTTAAACTGATATCAAATTCAATAAATCAGTTTAATTTAGGAGTTACAGTCAGACATGCCATGTCAGTCAATACATATACAAATTTGACATGATGTACTCAATGATAGTATAGTTCAGCATTTTCCAAACTGCACTCAACAGAATGTTTTTGTTATGAATAAAGAACCTCTTAAACAAGCTTGAAAAAATTATAGGATAGCAAAGTTAAATGGCTTTTGTTTCTGAGAGTCTTCTCAAAGCATTTAATTTGCTACTACATATCATAACTCTTGAGAGAAAAATATATTTCCTCTTGCCATAGGCAATTTCAAAATTCAGCAAAAGTTTTTAGGCAAAAAGTAGTTAGACATTAGAGTCCCCGCAATACTCAGTTTTGTGTCTTCAACCCCCACAATATATTTTGATTTAAAATATTTACAGATTTCTCTGCAACTAGTAGCAGTTCTCTTCCCAAAGTCCAGGTTCTTAGTTTCTTGCCATATATCACAAATCAGTTTAAAAAAGAAAAGGAATAAAACATCTACAAAACATCAGCTTACCTCTCTATGGCTCTCCCCTCATTGAACTTGTGCCCTCCAGCCCTCATGGCTTTAGCAGCAATCTAGTTTTGTAATTTTTAAAAGTTTATTCATCTTTCCCAAGTGTTTTCATCAAAAACATTGGAATATTACAAGCTGTTGCATCCTACTCAGAATTGGAAATCTGTTCATGAATTTTTAGCCAAAGCAAATAAGAAAGTAAGACCAGTAGATACTGAAAACTAGTAGAAAACACTTAATTTCCAACGGTATTAATACATTTAAAAGTCAATAGATTTAACTGGAAAACAATTATAAATAATATCAGTATTCAGTATATTGGCCAGTTAGAAATTATCATCACTAGCTAGTAAGAAATCGTAAAGGAACTAAGTCAATTAATAACACCAAAACAACAATGAAAAAGTCAATGTATCGTGTATGTAATGATTAGAAATGTCTTAACAAGACACATATAAAACCTTTATGAAGAAAATTATAAAGCCTCACTAAAAGAGGTAAGGTGGTAAATGATCAAGTAAGCTAATGAACTTTCTGATAGAAAGAGTAATAATAGGCAAATTGCATTATCAAATGTTAAAATACATTTAAGTATAATGTAATTTAATCAGATATTACTAGGCTACATATGTAACTAAGAATTACACCTAAGTATATAGAGAACTTACATGTATGAAAAGGGTGGTAAAATTAGTGAGTAAAACAGATTCTCCATGAATGTTGCTGAGCCTCTCCATCTTGAACTTGGTACCTCAAAATACAAGTGGATTCAGATGTGAACAGATGTTTCACGTGAGAAAAAACAGATATGGACAGATGTTTCTATATATAAAAATAATTATATAGTTAATATTTTTATCAGTTATCAACACTTATAAATTGAATAAATAAGATACCACTTATCACCCATCAAATTAGCAAAATTAAACATACACACAATATTTCACATGCATGAGTACGTGTGTGTGTGTGTGTGTAATATCCAGGTAAGAATTTGGGGAAGTTAAACAGGTTATAAAAATTTATATAACCTATTTAAAAGGAATTTACACATCAAGGGCCATATAAAAATCCTCCTAATTATCTTGGGGAAAGGACTAATTATTGTGACCATTGCATGCAGTTCTGTTTTTTATATACTTATGACATATTAGAAAACAATATCTAAAAAAAAAATTTTAATTTTTTGACATTAACAAACTGCCTAGTTCAGGGCTATATTCTCAGTGCCTAGTACCTGACACATTATAAGGGCTTAATAAATATTTTTGAATAAATGAATTAAGGGTCCCTCATGAAAAAGATGTGAAAAGATTCACATCTTTTTAATAAAATATTACACAGATATTTAGGATAATAACTCTAAAAACAGAATGTCAAAACATGAATATATGTGGTAATAAATAAATAGGATATAAATTTTATGTAGATTTTATGTATATTATGGTTAAACTAAGTAACACATATGCATATAAAAATAGCAGAAGAAACTATATTAAGATAAGTCCAACTGTGAGAAGATGATGGTGAGCTATTAATCATGAAATGCTGGAGAAGTCATAACCCAAACAGGCCTAATTTTCCTTACCTGTTACATGCATATGACTTTATAGGGAGAGGTAAGTAAGATAAAACCATTTTACAAATTAAAAAGACCTTCATAAATGTTAAGTAGTAATTATCACGATTCACCACAAATTATGATCTTCCCTGATTACTGGTATTTATATGTTGTAAATTAGTGACTATTTCCTCTTTGGCTTAATGATTTCCCTGGAAAAATACGAGCGAACATTTATACATTTATGAGAAAGAAAAGGAAGATTTTATACCCACACACATGAGAGAGACAGAGAGAGACAGAGAGAGAGAGAGGTGTCATACAACGACCTTTGGTGTGCAACAGACCACACATACAGTGGTAGTCCGAGATCATAACAGGGCTGAAAAATTCCCATTGCCCAGCAATGTCATAGCCATCATAATGTCACAGTGCAATTACTTTAAAAAAAATTAATTTACTGTAGCCTAAGTATACGTTGTTTATAAAGTCTACAGCAGTGTACGGTAATGTCCTAGGCCTTCACAATTCACTCACTACTCACTCCTGCAACTTGCACTCCTGCAAGCTTCATTTATGGTAAGTGCCCTTTACAGGTGTAGCATTTTTCATCTTTTATACTGTATTTTTACTGTTCCTTTTCTATGTTTATATATGCTTAAACAAATACTTGCCATTGTGTTACAGTTGCCTACAGTATTTAGTATAGTAACAGGCTGTAAAAGTTTGTAGTCTAGGAGCAATAGGTTATATCCTATATTCTAGGTGTGTAGCAGGCTATACCATGTAGGTTTGTGTAAGAACACTCTATGATTTTCATACAATGACAAAATCACCTAACACCACATTTCTCAGAACATACCCCCATCATTAAAAGACACAAGACTGTGAGTGTGTGTGTGTGTGTGTGTGTGTGTGTGTGTGACTTAACGATGTGGATATGTTCTTATGTGTGTCACACATATATATACACACAGAGTCATGTGTCACTTAATGTATGTGTGTATACACACACACATATATATAATCTTTTAGTTTATCATTTACCATCTTTAGTTTATCATTTACCATCTTCTATTTTCTCCTTAAATGTGAGTAAGAAATTTAGACTACATTCGGCATGGCTGTATCTAACAATGCATTTCAAGTCAAAGTTTAGTCATAATCCTGCTGCCAAGTGGAAAGATAGCAAACTGCTTTAAGGAAAATCAGATATTTCCTCACGTGAAACAATCCAGTGTTTCACAGACTGCATGTCATTAAATTCTCATCACCAATATTATTTCAGAGACTATAGTTTATAATAAAATATCTTGAGCATGTCTATAATAAAGATAGACAAATTAGACTCTGTTGGCTAAACTCTGGTTATCACATAAGCATTGTTTTCAAACATTACTTGAGCTTTGGCCATTCAATTTGATCACTAGATATTGAACTCCATTGTGTTGGCTTAATATATTTTCTGTTGGTTTTTATAATTATTATTTAAAATGTGTGCAATAGTTCATAGAATTAGCACTATGTGCTAAACACATTTATAAGCAACAAGAAGATGTGGAACAAATGAAAAAGAAGTTTATACTAATTACATATCTACATCTGACTTCAGTGAATAAATTTTAATATTAACAACTCTAATTACTCAAAGCAAAAAAATTATAGAGTGAAAGAAGATCCAATATAAATTAGATTTTCAATTTATAAATACAACAAGAAGTAAGTTGTTCCAAAGATAGCTCTCTCCCAAAAATTATGACAATTTTCATTCAACATTTAATGTTCTACCCTATGAAGTTCATCATTTATTACAATATAAATTTCTTCCCTTGCTCCACAATACAGAACAGGGCTACGTACAGAATGGGAGCTTCTGCTAGCTCCCATACTGTCTGGTGCAGGACAATGCATGTTGGTATGTGCTCAAAAAACATAATTTTGCAGACTGGGTAATTGTAACTTATTCACCCATATTACCTTTTCCAAATGATAAGAGTATGAAATTTAACAACTTAGATTTCAAACAAAAGATTGGTGATTTGATCGGTTCAAAAGCATGGACCCAGCATTTGAGGGATCAATCTCTGCATGCAAGCAGAACATCAATAGTTTCTTACATAGTAGGTCTATTTTCTGGTAACATTTACAACATGTAGCTTTGTGTCTGAATCTAAACAGTATGGGCAATTTAAGAATCTGGATTATAATTGGAATCTATTGGGAAGTAATCTTCCAAATGGATCAGAAGACTTTTAGGTCAGATGAAAACTTATTTAAAGTATATAGATTCTTCTCTAGTCAAAAATTTCCAATTTGTAGCAGATGTATAAAAATATCTACTAAAGATGTGACCATATATAATTAACTATATGAATACTTTTTTCTTACCGTATATATGGATAAAATACACTTTTAGCAGTAAATCACACCAAACTAAGATTTCTTTTGTATTTCCTGCAATAGACTAGCACATAACATACAGAAGGATACATTATGCAAAACAAAAATATTCTAGAAATAATTAACTAAACAAGTTGAGTTCATCCTGTATCAAGATATTCTCCATATCAGTAGAAGGGATAGAAATATTGTTTCCCATTTTATTTTCTCAAAATAATACTTCTGCTTTCAGGGGATTTCAATGAAGTAGCTCTTGGGAATTACAAAGTCTTCAGGACTTCTACTTATTCCATATTTTTAGAACCATCAGAGTTTAGACTTTCAGTTTACAGAGTCATCTCTCAAAGACTTTACCCAGTAAGTGACCTTTGTAGACCATATACTGTTCATCAGGAACTCAGTTATAACTAGTGACAGGTTGTCTTCACTGGAATTTGCTCCTTAACAGGTATTCAGTCTCCAGGACATAATACTAAATAGAAAACAAGGTAAGTCGTTTGAATTAGATTAACTTTGGGTTCTCAATTCTGGTTCACCCAGGAAATAAGGTGATTGCCTTCTTAAATCACTGGGTATTATCTTGTCATGTTGAACAATCACATAGCCTTCATCCCAGCAATTCTAATTACAGGTATATGCCTGAAGGAGGTTCTAGCTCACGTGCTAAAAGATGTGTCCAAGAATGTGGATAGTATCACTTATACTAGCAAAAAGGTTAAAAAAAAAAAAAAAAAAAAAAACAGGCCCGGAAAGTCCACTGACAGGAGAAGAAATTTTTAAATTGTGGTTTATTCACACAGTTCAATATTATACGTTTATAAAATGAATGAACTACAGCTGCATGCAACAACATAGATGAATTTGAGGAGCATAATGCTACGTGAAAGAAGCATGTTTCTGCAGACTTTGTATAGTATGACACCGTATTTTATAAGGCGCAAAACTAGCAAAGATAAACAATATATTCTCTAGACACACATACATATATAAAAATATTTAAAAAAACAAAAATGGTGAAATGATGAACCAAATTTTCAGAACAGTCATTACCCTATAGTAGGGAAGGCAGTGGGGGTGGGTGAAGGAAGGAATACATAGGTAGGTAATTGGTAATAATCCATGATCTGATTTGGATAGTAGGTCATGATTAGTCTTTACATCATGCTTTATTTTGTGTATGTATATATATACATACATATATATATTCCTTAGTATATATCAAATATTACATTAAAAGGTAAAATAAATATAATTTTAAAATATTATTTTAAAAATTGACTACTATGAGTGATCTAGTAATTATTATTCTCCTCTAACATTTTAAGTAATAGTTTTCTTGTTCACTTATTTATTACTTATTTATTCTCCCCTTACTGAGAAATATAACGAGGTGGCACTATGTTAGATACTAGAAATTCAGAACTAAATAAGATGGCCAGTGCTCTTGAAGGGCTTACAGGCCAGTGGAAGAATTTTAACAACTGATTACAGTTCTCCATGAGTAGGAAGGGCAAATAAGATATTATATGAAAAGCCACCAGCACATAGTCAGTGCTTAAAAATTAACTCTATTTTTTAATATTACTATTGTTATTCGAACATAACCCTGAGGACATGGACACAGGGCACTCGATGTTCTTCAAGGGGTAAATTTTCTTTCTTGCTAACCCAACGGGTACACAATAATGGATGCTTCTGCTTCACACGGCGCCTCTGAGTAAGCAAAATTTGAAAGGTAAGAGAACAAAGCAAACCAAATATTATTTAATCTGAGCTCTACACCATACTGCCTGTTCTATTAATATTTACTCTCTTTATAAATGTTTGCCCTACACTTTAGTCTAATAATTCTAAGAATGCAATTTCCTCACCGAGTTCTACATATCTTTAGAAAATCCAAACTAGAAATAGTTTATGGTACAAATAGAAGACCTGAAAAGCAACCTATAACATAAGAGATTTTCAGCTCTGTTTGTTGAGTCAAATGGCCTTTGAAATCCACCAGCCCATCTCTTAAAGTGGGGTAAGGTGAAATAGCTTGTTAGATAAAGTGACTCCTACATACATCAATTGATGATGCTTTGTTCTGGGATTAAACCGTAAGAACAATCTATTAACTGAGGAGTATTAAAGCTAAAAAGGAATGAAATTTATCAGAAAAACTACACATTTTTGTACAATCTTCAGGAAATAATTACCATCATTGTATAGATAAACCTGAATTGGGATTAGGCTCACGCCTGTAATCCTAGTATTTTGGGAGGCCAAGGCAGGCGGATTACCTGAGGTCAGGAGTTCAAGACCAGCCTGGACAACATGGCAAAGCCCTGTTTCTACTAAAACTACAAAAAAAATTAGCCAGGCATGGTGATGGGCACCTGTAATCCCAGCTATTCGGGAGGCTGAGGCAGGAGAATCGCTTGAACCCAGGAAGCGGAGGTCACAGTGAGCCAAGATCGCGCCACTGTACTCCTGCCTGGGCAACAGAGGAAGACCCTGTCTCAATAAATAAATAACTTGAATTAATTCATGAATTCTTCATTCATGGCCAAAAATATTCAGATTTCAGTGAACAATAATACACAAAGCCTGAAATCATATAAAAGCAAAAGCTTAGATGCTAGATATCCCACACAAGCCATGCAGGTTCCAATCATATCCTCAGCCTAGTAATGCTCACTGCAGGAAATTCCAAAAATATCTCCACCAAATGGGTAATTAGAGAAGAGAAACAAATGCAGCCCTTGGCATAGGTTTCTCCCATAAACAGAGCCCTGTAGGCACATTTCACACCAGGCCATCTGTTGTTTCATGATGGTGAGTTAATAGATGGTTGAGACAAGCGAGAGCAACTCATTATTCAAAGCTCCCTCTCAAAATGAAGTTCTAATTGAACTGTGTGTGCTCTATACTCTGTTTTACTAGAGTCATGGGAAAAGAAGGATTCTTATCTAATCCTTTTTGTCTTTTGGCTTTACTTTCTACAAACAGCCAAAAACAAAAGTGAAATAATCCTTCTAGTGGTACAACAGATCACAGACCAAGGTGGCCAAGCTAAAGTTGCTTGATGTGGATTTTGAAAAGGTAGAAAACATTGAGAACTATAAGATAAACAGGCAGGAAATTCAGCTAGTAATTATAGTTGCCAGATAAAATATAACTGTTTAAATTTTAATTCCAGATGAACAATGATTTTTTAGTATAAGTATGACCCACACAATATTTGGGATATATTTATACTAAAATATTAGTTGTTCTTCTGAAATTCAAATGAAGTGGGCATCATGTATTGTATCTGCTAAATTTGGCAACTGTATGAGTAATGGATTCCAATGATTATAGCAGCAGTGTCTGACTGGGCTCAAAATAGAAATCCTATGATCGCCACACAGTAAATAACAATATACTCACCACAAAGAGGGTATGGTGCAACATAAACAATATAAGGTATAGGGTGATAGAATGAATATGGCCATCCTAACATAATCAAAATGTAGACTATTGAAATGTATTCAGTTAAAAAATGTGCTGAAACTTTGGGGGTTATAGCGTAAGCTCGTATATTGAAAAATCTCATTTCTATTGCTAACACCATTCAGATGACTTTTCAACATATAGCTGTTAAACGTATGCCATTACTTAATTACTTTTTCATTAATGTCTTCATTCTTTTATGCACTTTGCCAGGTACTTTTTAAAGCACTGGAAATAGAGCAGAGGACAACATAAAGCTTTATCCACATGAAGCTTACCTTCCAGCGGAAGAAGACAGAAAACAAGTGAATAGTTGGAAATATAATACCTCAGAGAATAAGTGAATAAAAGAAAAATAAAGCCAAGTAAGGGAGATAGAGAGTTTTGGAAGATTGCGTGAGTTATGGTATTTACATTGGGTAGTAAGGGAAGACCTCTCTGATAAGGTGACATTTTGAGCAGAGACCCATAAAATATGAGGGAGCAAGTCATACACGTGAAAAAGAAAAATGAAGGTCCTGAGAATGATAAATCCCTGCTGCAGTCCTCAGAAAGCAGGAGACCAGTGTGACCAGAGTTGAGTGACTGAAGAGTAGAGAGGTAGAAGACGAAGTCAGGGAGTTGGTGATGGAAGCAGTCCTTACAATGACTTGGGATTTTACAGAAAGGGAAATAAGAAGCTACAAATGTTTTTAACTTTATCCGAGGTCCCATGACTCTTCAGTTCAGTACAGTCTCCCTGGACTCTGTATGGAGGATAGACTTCAGGCTGGTAAGGGGAGAGTCAGGGAGAGTTGTCAAGAGGTACTGCCACCATCCAGGCAAGAGATGACAGGGCCCAGGATCGGTGGAGGCTTGTAGCTGGGAAGGACATGAGAAGTGGTTGGACATGAATGCATTTTGAAGGTTAGTCAACAAGAAGGAAGAAAGAAGTTGCAATTCCTGCCTTCAAGGATCTTTCCCAATGATAGCTGACATTTATTATTTGTGTGCCATCAACTATACACACACAAGCTAAAGTCCTTACATACCTAATCTCACTAGCCTTCTCAACAACCTCACAAAGAAACTGAGGCTAAAAGAAGCTATTTGCTTCAGAGGCATATAGCTAATAAAGTAAAAGAGCAGCGGAGGTGCTCAGATTTGATTGACACCAAACAATGGAACATACACTCTGAGTATGTACAAAGAAATATAGGCTGTAGCTCTAACCTCATGAAGCTTGGGAGAGATTTTAGATCAACACATAAAAGATGGTTACATTACTATCCTAGGCAGTGTGTGGTTGAGAACCAAATATCTCTATTTAAATGTTTCGTGAATTCAGAGGGGTAGGAAATGCGTATGATTTAAAGTGCTTGGAGAAGAATTCGTGGGGGAGGGGGTACAAGCTGAGCCTAGTAGAAAGGGAAGCAATTGGACTAGGTGGAGAGGAGGAAGAGGATATAAAGCAGTAGCAACAACAGAAATAGGTCTTAAAGTTTCAAAATTAGCGTGCTATTTCCAGTGCAGAGAGTTGACCAAGTTGGTTGAAACTGGGAGAAATGGAAACAGTACCCACACTATTGAAAATCTGCACCATCTTAACCAGTTTGTCTGATGATCTTTTAAGCAGACATGAAATATACTAGCACTGACAAAGAAAACGAAGAGGCTACAGATTTTCACACAGTGCCATGAGGCTTCCTCATCTACAAGAAGCAAAATACCTCTTGCTTATTCATATGGACACATATTATTTGACAATCATCCCCCCACATGGAAAATTTGTTTGGTTATTGATAGATGATAGCTGATGCAGCAGTGGGGGAACAAACATTTACACATTATAGCTCAGATGTATAACAGAAGTGAAGTGTCTTCATTTTGAAGCAAATGCACTGAGTTGGCTGCCAAACACCCATTCTGGCATATGGCTGGGGGTGGGGTGGAGACAGAGTGTTAAAATGCCAATTAGAGGTGAATCATTCTCTTCTGGTTCAAAATGGTCTTTTTTATTTAAAAGTCCCTTTTAGAAAAATATTCAGCCAATTCAAAGGTCAAACTATTTATCAAGGCTGTCGTTCCTCCCTCAGAAGGACTATTTTCCTTTTTTGCAAGACAGCTTCTGGGAACAAGGTAAAGCTCATATATGCTCAGGGAATTGGAGGGGCAGGGGCTCCCATCCATCTGTGGTTGAGGTCCAGATGGAGAGGAGGTATAGGGTTTATTGCACAGCCATTTTATCTTTGCAGGTCTGTCAGCTCCTGTCCCTACCACCTCTGCTTCTAGAACGTTCAGTGTGTGTAGCTCGTGGTCTATTCTTTCAGCATGCCAGGTGGTTCCTGCCTTTCACCTGAAACTCCCAGCCTCAACTCCTGCGTGCACTTGAGATCTTCTGGGTCTCCTCTACTTTCTCCATCTGGCCTCTGCCTCAGCTGCCCATGCCATGGCCTCCCCAACATGGTTCTCACCACAGGGATGTCACTGGTTCTTGCTCAGCTACATTCCAAGTCCTCTACAAGAAGCAAGCGTGAAATTTTATATCTCTCTCCATGCCACCCAGCTAACACAGTATTTAAAAGAGAACAGCAATCTTCAGCACTCTCCCTGCCCAAACATGCCAAATCATGTTTCTCCTCTGCTGTGGTCACTCCACGTTGGCCTTGGGGCTCCCTATGCACAGATCTCCTTCCTGAAACCAAACAGGTAAGGAGAGTATAAGCTCTCTGTACTTTCATACTCCCTCTCAGTCTAGCCGAGATTTCTCTCACTCTTTTCATCATCTCCTCTGCATTTCTTCTTTAAACAGCTTTAGTGTGGTATAATTCATATGCCGTAAAACTTCCTCATATTAAGGATACAGATGATTGCATTTTAGTAAATTTATATTATTGTGCAACCATGATCAGGATGTAGTTTTAGAACATTTGTATCACCTTAAAACATTTTCTCATAGCCATCTGAAGTTAATCCTCATTCCAACCTCAGGCTCTAGCAACCACTGCTCTGCTTTCAGTGCTGGGAAGGACCTCTACTTCTCATATGCTGGACCAGATAAGACAGACCAATTCTCCTAATGAGGACAGCTAAAACTCTATATTATATGCGTATTGTATGAGATATACATATGTGTGTGTGTGTGTGTGTGTGTGTGTATATATATATATAAATTATAATTTGGCTGAAAATTACCAGACCAAAATCTAGGAAAATGGGGGAGCCCAATAAAGTGAGAACAACTTGCAAAACTGCTTTGGTACAGAGGGCATTTGTCTATATGAAGATATAGCTGTGAGGAGATCTGACA
This sequence comes from Homo sapiens, assembly GCF_000001405.40. Lineage (NCBI taxonomy): Eukaryota > Metazoa > Chordata > Mammalia > Primates > Hominidae > Homo > Homo sapiens. The sequence goes on from NC_000011.10 coordinate 101,742,653, forward strand.
TTTTAGTAGCTTCTTAGAATGTGGACAACGAAAGTAAAAGCCAGCACCTACCTAAGTAGAAAGTCTGACAAGCACCACCACCCCTTCTTTAAATTAGGGCTGTCTGAAAAAGAGTAAACTGGAATAAGCTACTAGTTTAAGATTAAACTTTTCTGTAAAAGTTTAATCTCAGGACTTGGAGAACCAGGTGTACAAGGCCACCAACGTCCAAGGAAACAAGACACTTTGAGCTCAAATCCAGAGAAATCAGACACAACTGAAATGGAGTCATAAAGACTTCTTATATTGAAATTATCACACATAATATGAAATAATTATGATAAAAGAAATTTTTAAAATCTTTAAAATATCTGAAAGAAACTAAAAACTACAAAAAGTAATGTGACAATTCTTTTTGAGACAGAGTCTCACTCTGTCACCCATGCTGGAGTGCAGTGGCATGATCATAGTTCACTGAAACCTTGAGCTCCTGCATTCAAGCAATCCTCACTTCAGCCTCCCAAGTAAGTCGGACTACAGGCACGCACCACCATGCCCAACTAATTTTTTAAATTTTGTATAGACACCAGGGTCTGACTAAGTTGCCCAGCCTGGTCTCGAACTCCTGGGCTCAAGCAATCTTCCCACCTTGGCCTCACAAATGTTGGGATTATGGGCATCAGCCAATGCACCCAGTCCCAAAAGTGAGCTAACGGCTCACTTTTTAGACAGAGAGCTAACTAGCACTTCTAGATCAGAAAACACAGTAAGTGAAATTTACAACCCTATTATTCATTTTATCTGGTGTTTTTAGTAACCTTTAACAAATTCTTATCCTTTCTTTCTCCCTGTTAATCTATTACCTAATCTTCCCTCAATTTTACTAAACTTTGAAATATGGAAACAGAAGGAAGAAGGATAGCAACATCTCATCAATAAGCTTATCTGCACATAGTGGTGTGTTAATGCCCTTCCTACAAATTTACATCCAAACTCTCTATTGAAAGGAAATAAATTAATCTATCTCAAAATCAGGTAGTTGTTCTATATGCATTACATGTTCTTGTCACATGCCATAGAAAAGACCCATCCTGAGCCAGCTTAAACATAAAAGAAAATCATCCTAACAACACTATCATGGAATTTAAGTACAGAATTGTTACAGGGCCCCAGAATAAAACTTGAAAAATGAACTCAAATATTATTTCTTCTATAATCTCTCTTCCTCTGCCCACATTTGTTTGTCTCTACTTCTTGGCTTCCTTTTCAGCCACCAGAAAGAGAATAACCTCATATTTTCATTTCCCAGTCTATCACCTCAAACCTCTGTGGTCAGGAGGCAGGGATTTTACCATTCCCAGAAGGAGTGGGAGATGGGCAAACAAAATATGAGCTCTTCACTACACAGACAACCCTTGTTAAACTGACAGAAGGTTTATCTGTGGGTTTTATAGGTCTAACCAATTATATGAATAAAACTACTATCATTCCTATGGAAATACATAAAATATGTAAAAAATTTTAAAAAAGGAATAAAAGACTTCTGCTTGTGGTTACAGCAAACAAATTGATTTAGGTTAACCCTTCCACTTCAGACACGTGAAAAAAACAGGAAGAATTCTTTAAAACTTTTTAAAAGCATTTTTTTTAACTTGAGTGGATACATGGTTGTTTGCTCTACTAGTAAGTTGATATAAATTTTTCTGGGGCTGCATATGTATTATAGTTCACAATAAGAAAAGGACATTTCAAAATAACAAAAGAAGAAAATAATTGTATAATACATAAAGCACTTCTATAAATTTTTAAATATAAAAACGAGCCATCAACCATAACAGAAAATGTCACAAAAATGAAATACAAATCACCGATAAACAGATGAAAATATGCTCACCCTTACTATGTAACTTTAAGTAAGAGGTTTTTTAAAATCATCCAACTGGTAAAAATTAAGGAGAGTGATTACAGCCAAAGTGGATAAAAATGTGGGTAAATGGACCCTCTGTTTTTGTTTGTGTGTGCGTGTGTGTTTTTTTGTTTTTGTTTTTGTTTTTTTACACACAGGCTCCCAATCATGGGTCACTGCAGCCTCGAACTCCTGGGCTCAAGCATTCTTCCTACCTCAGCCTCTCGAGTAGCTGGGACTACACACATGTGCCACTGGATCCAGCTAATTTTCTAATTTTTTTTTGCAGAGATGGGCGTCTGCCTACATTGTCAAGGCTGATCTCAAAATCTTGGCTTCAAGAAATCCTCCTGCCTGAGCCTCCCAAAGTGCTGGGATTACAGGTGTGAACCACCACACCTGGAGCAGACATTCTCTTAAACATGATTGATAGAGTAGAAACTAATATAGCCATATTAATGGATAATTTGACAGTATTGATAAAAAGTAATTCATTACTAGAATTTCAAAAGTATATAACCTTTGATCTAAGAATTCAAATTTATGTATCCATTGCATAGTTTTGTATTTCTTTTTTTGAGATGGAGTCTTGCTCTGTCGCATAGTTTTGTACTTCTAACACATACACAGAAATATATAAGTATTTTCATCACAGCATTGTTTATAACAAAAGAAGTAGAAATCCATTATTTGTCTATCAATAGAAGAATAAATATTGTAATACAATACTGTGATGCTCTTCCGTAGCAACTCAAAAAAAAATGAAATTTATCCATATTCATCAGCCTGGAAAGATCACCAAATCATACTTTTAGTTGGAAAATATAAATTGCTAAACAACACCTTTCCATTTATATAGAAAACCAAAACTACATTAAGATGGAACAAACAGAAAGAGGTGACCCTTGAGATAAGCATTTTAATAATACTGGAGTAAGTAACAGAGTCCTGGGGCAAGTATAAGGATTAGAAATATCTCAGCGAGGCCAGGGACAGTATAAAGCTAAAATTCTGGAAGCTATGAAAACAAAAGCAGTACTGAGGGAGTCAACAGTATACCATCATCAAAAATATGTTGAAAGTCTACAAGCCCAGATAATGCAATTAAGTACCTATAATTAATTAAAGTCTAGAATTCAGAAAACCCAATGTATCTGAAATTGCATTAGAGACACGGACGCAGAAATGAAAAGGTGAGTCTTCCATAGAAATTTGCAAAAGTTCCTGTAACTAGGGAAACTGTGAATGCATTTGTGATCTGATCCTAGTGAAGACAGGAAAAGGAGAGCAATAGTTCATGGGCTGCTTATACATAGAAAAAATGTTTATTCCACATATATTTATGACAAAACAATGTAACTCAACTACATGGGGTAATAATATGCTGTGTTTTGCTGTCCTGTGACCTCTCTCTCAGGCAAGACTACACTCTGAGTTTACTGGCTTCCCCTTTCCTGACCACAGTTGTGCATGAGAACAAATCGTTCTATTAGCAAATATCTCACATTTTAAACTTTGAGAAATTGAAGGACTGTCAAAACATACTGAATTCAAAGAGTACATCCTCAGCAACCAGAGGAAATTGAAATGACAACAAAATAGTATTTGGTATTTGGTAGAAATGTACAGCAAAAATAAAAGGCTGTTCGCATTTTTATTAAAAGAATAATTTCTATTCATGAATAGATAATGCAATGGATTATCACACATATCAATAATATATTTAAATGGATTACAAAATCCATCTATTTAGCTGTTTGTCCTCTATTTTCTTTTTCACTCACACCTACCACTGAAACATGGTACAAGGCACTTTTAAATGAATGCAAAATAAAAATATTTTCTAAAGAAAAAAAAGAGAGCAAAGAAAACATCTCTTTTGTATCCTTTCTTATCTACCCCTGCTGTACCTCCCTCCTCCTTTTCACCCTTTAAGTAAAATTAAACTTCTGCCTGGTGCAACTGAGAATCCTTCCCTATAAAATTATCACATTAAGAGATTGATAATACAGAAATATGTGAATACGAAGGAGTATTTGCTAAGTATGGCATGTTTAATGTTATACCATAGAAAAAAATATACATAAAAATAAGCCTACCCATAATCTCAGTATCCAAAATTGTTACTATTAATATTTTGTGATGTTACTCTCATCTTTTGCATAATTTACACATATAAAATGGAAGTGCATTATACAGATTTTTGGAAACCTCCTGTTCTCTAAATATAAACCATGAACATTCTAGCCTATTAAATTAAGTAGACGGCATAATACTCCATAATGCAGATATATCATAATTAATTTGATCATTATCCCTTTTGTTGGATTTGATGTTGTTTCAATTATATTATAAATAATGCTGAAGTAAATACTATTTTAACTAAATCTTATATATATATTTCTGATTTTTTTTTACTTTTTATTATAATTCACACCAACATGGCACATATATACATATGTAACAAACCTGCACATTGTGCACATGTACCCTAGAACTTAAAGTATAATTCTGATTATAATATATATTATAATATATAATAAAGTATATTTCTGATTTCTTAAACACAACTTTCAAAAAGTAAAATTACTATATCAAAGATATTATTTTTAAGATTTCTGACACTTGTTACCATTTTGTCCCACAAAAAGCATGTACTGGTATAAGCTTACCCAAGTAGCTCATAAAAGTACACACCTTTTAAAAAAATCCACCATACTTCATCTCTCCAGCATTGGGCATTATAATCTTTTTAAACTTTCTGCTAAAATATGATAACATTATTTAAAGTTCTGTTACTTCAGCTATGAGAAAGGTAAAATTATGTTTTTGAAAACTCTTATATGGAGGTGTTTAAATATTTTTATTCTACAGGAATACATTACATATTTAACTTAGCTTTTGTTACAATTTATTCTATATCTAATTTGTAGTTCATATTCTGATTGAACATAGTACTTTTTTATGTACAGAATATTTTAATTTTATATAGTCAATACAATCTTTTTATGTTTCATTTGTTTTAGTTTTTTTTTTTTTTTTTTTTACTGACAAGCTGTTGCCTCTTCTGGAATGCAGCGTTATAATCTTAACTCACTGCAGCCTCAAACTCCGGGGCTTAAGCCATCCCCTCACCTCAGCCTACCAAGTAGCTTTTTAATGTTTTCTTATTATCTCAGAGAGGCCTCCTCCAACCCATATCAAATTAATGTACACTATTCTGTTATTTGAATTACCTTAAGCACACATTAATATTTAGCTGTTCATCTGAAATATGTAAAAAAAGTTTTGGGTCAAGGGACTATGACCCAAGAACTATTACTTAGCAAAGCCTAAATATTTTAAATATATCATTATTTTACTTTATGTTTAAACAAAAGAAAAGTTATTTATTTTGAATGATACATTATCAAAAATCCAAAAAGTACCATTTACAAAGCACAATCCTATTATATCTCAGAAATGATGGTAAGGTTATCTGAGAGCTTTTGAAAATTTCTGTTACCTGAAATTTAGCAGCATTGAACTCAATTTGTTTTATTCTTACCAATCACAAATGCCATTTCATAAGAAGAAACAATTACAATCACATTAGAAATATTTTGTTGTCTGCTAATACCTAGATATTAATATCAAATATAATATCGATAAGAAAATATATTACATTGATATTATATTCACAAATAATCTATTACATTGATATTATATTCACAAAAGAGCCCTGAGAAGAAAGATGCTAGGTGGCATTTGAAGAAAAAGACTGAAGTAAATTGCAGAAACCGTTCTTTTTATTTAATGCAAGCTGAGATCTATATATGTATTCTAATTAGACATCTGCTCCACTCTCATTTTTGATGTTCCTAGGAAATTATCAGGCAAGCTTCCCCCAATATTATGGACAGGATACTCGGACAAACTCCTCTACTGTGAAATGAGTTCCTGTCCTCTATAAATTATAACAATTGTGCTTTTAGATATATTGCTGAGATATTCAGGAAGTAAGTGAAATCTCTAAGGGCAAGAGAGAAACAAAGCAAAGAAAAACACTGAGGCAAAACCTTAAAGTTTGCATTTTCCTGGGCAACTAACAATATTAGAACTAGGATCTGTGGACTAAACACCCAGGTCTCCAAAACTAAGACCCCCGAATATGGCCAAGAGTCTTCAGGAGGGAAATGTAGTCTCGGGTCAGTAGCCCTGGCTGCTGGCCTAAGCAATAACTTGCCTACACATCCCACTCTTTGCTGCCTTTGTTTGGCTTCTCACTGCCTCTGGCTTAGCCTTCAGCCTTTTTTCTTTCTTTTTTTGCCTTTTTTAATGAACACTAGGAAATATTCATGCTGTGCCCAGGAGGTTGCATTTGCATCTTTCAAATTCAGCTTCCTTCTTTATCTTTCAAAATACATTCTACTTTCTCTTTGCCTTGTCTATACCACCAAGGTCTCTTGAACTTCTTTCACTGAAACAGTTCCATGTCTTTTGGGTATATGTACTTTTCAATCAATTGAGCCCCTTGGATTATTTTTTTTTTCCTTTTTTAAGTTTACTTTGTAAACTATTAACCATGTGATATCTGAGAGTCTTATCTAGCCAGCATGTGGCAGCACATCACACAGGACATTTTTGTTCAACAATGCCAAGACTGAACAGCTATTTAAGATCAGAAAACTGTGATAATGCTTCAATTCACTGAGTTTACTTTTAAAATTGAACAAGTATTTATCGAGCACCTAAAATGAAGTGACATTTTGTTTAAAATAGGAACATTCAGATGCAAACTGAAATATCCAATCACTAAAATTATGTCTTTACAAACTAAAACATCTGGATGGCTGATGTTAATTTACAATTTTGTTCTGAATGTTTAGTATTGCACAGAAGTAGCCCCGTTTCATATTTATATTCACTTTATGTTTTCTGCAAGAGAAAGCTATGTAGTAGTCTATAATTCAGTTTGTATAAGCTCTTTTAACCAACTTCTGCTTAACTGACTCGCTGGACTAATCAAAAGTTTGCTTTCCTGCTTTAAAACTTATCAATAGTTGTGTTTGTAGGTTCCGATCTGTGATATGTGCCTGCTCTTCTGCTCCACCCACGGAGTTGTGTGCCAAACAAGTTGTGCTTCTTCCCAGAACTGCCTATGACAGTTGTATTTACTGTATAGTTAGCATGAAATTTGATTAAATATCATGTAAACTGAAGCAGTAGGGGTATAAAAGGAAAATTGTTTCTCTGAACAAGTCATTGACTACTTTGGAAAAACAATAAAATTTAATGTAAAATTGCTGTTGGTCATCAGAACATGACCAATGTTTTGGGAACAAAATCATAAAAACCTAGGAAAGTTTCACTTTCAAAATGCATTGCAGTATAGTTCTTTTAAGTTACTTCACTTATAAGGAAGTAGTAACAGGAGACGGCAAATGCTGTATTACAGTAGGAATTTTTTTGAGACGGAGTCTCGCTCTGTCGCCCAGAGTGGAGAGCAGTGGCGTGATCTCAGCTCACTGCAACCTCTGCCTCCCAGGTTCAAGCGATTCTCCTGCCTCAGCCTCCCGAGTAGCTGGGACTACAGGCGTGTGCCACCATACCCAGCTAATTTTTGTATTTTTAGTAGAGACAAGGTTTCACCATGTTGGCCAGGCTGGTTTCAAACTCCTGACATCAGGTGATCCACCCGCTTCAGCCTCCCAAACTGCTGGGATTACAGGCATGAGCTACCGTGCCAGGCCTATAGGTAGGATTTATACAAGACATTGAACAAAGAACTCCAGTCAGCAAACCCAGGTGTTCTTTTCTGCTGAACCTGGAAGAAGCTGGCAATCTTTTCACCACCCCTCAATTAGTACCCATAAGCTGAAACTGATTTAGCATGTGAGGCCATGTTGCCCATTGGAGGGCAATGTTAGGCCATCCCTAACACATGGGGAGGAGAGAATTAGGGACAGCCTAGCATTGCTCCCTACTAGGTAGCATGGCCTCAGGTTGATAAGTCAATTTTAGCTTATGGGTACTGATGGAGGAGTAGGGAAAAGAATTCTCTGTTTGGAGAATCCTATCACACATGGGGAGGAGAGAGAGAGGCCAAACTAGATTTTGGGTTTATTTCTTTTGTGAGAGCCTGCAAAATGTCAGACACTGCTAAGTTTTCTGCATCTTCACTCCCATTTGATCCTCACAATGTTAGCATAGAAATATTAGTCTTATTTTACTAACGATTTTTATAAAATGCCGAGAGAAGATACGTAACATAGCTAAGGACCTCTAGCTTAGGAGTAGCAGGATCTGAATTTCAGCCCCAGTTTTACTGACTCCAGATCCTGGCTCTTTCCATGCCCCCATTTCTTTAGCAATCAAATACTAACTCCTATTATAAGTTTAGAGTAAATTGAATTGCTCTCAAACTTAACCCTTGAATGTGATGTAATGAATTTTATATTAAGTCCATTACATCATAACAGGTAATAAGAAAGTACTTACAAATCAACTCAAAGAAATATTTTTCAATAGCACTTCAAAACATCTATATTTTCAACCTGCAAAATTCACAAGAGTGGTCTTATAAACAACATATTTTAAGGTTTTTAAAGTAAACATTTTCTAAATAATTTTTAGAAATTTAGAAACAATGATGTTTATGGCTAAACAAAACAATGACTTTTAAGGCTAAAAACTTTCCCAATAGCCCATTCCAATAAAAATACAGCTTTTAAGTAATTCTGTATGCTATAATATTGAATGCATAAACTCACTATATTTCTTAAGACTTTGTCCTCAAAAATAATACATTTAAGAGGGCCTTCAAAATATCTCCTCCTCCACCTGAGCAACAAAATACCAGCTTTAGGATGTATGCTTTGTCTCTAGTTAAACTTGTTAAACTTGACCTTAAATTTCCCTCTGGACTTCAACGCTTGCTCCTCCCTGCTTGGATATGATTTTTCCTACTGTACTAACGTGTTGATTCATTCATGGACACATATCCATCCATTCACTCATTATTCACTCAGTAAAGCATTCATTCAACAAATATCTGAGTTCCTACTGTGTGCCTATCATGCTTGTAGATATTGAGGACATAATGATAAACAGTAGTCTCTGCCTTCATGAGGCTTTCCTTAGAATAAGGAAAATTAGCATTAATTCAGAAAAAAAAATAAACAATCCATGTTCAGAGTGTTGGAGGATACTAGTGCTCATCAATACCCATGATTTGCCTTTTCTTGGGCACAGTACCTAGTCTGTACTTTCCAGCCTCCTTGAAGCTGCAGCCCAGAGAATGGGGATAAACTAAGTAATAGCCAATGAAATGAAGACAAAAACATTTAAATTAATTTCCAAGTCTGGCATCAGAAACTTCTCAATGATCCTCTCCATGCCTCTTCTTCGTCTCCTGGATGGAAACAGGGACCCAATGAAGGATTCCTAGAGTGTGAAGCCACCAGATGGAAAGAATCTGGATCCCTAAAACACAGGAAAGATCACTCAGTCGTCCAACAACTATGACATGAGTGAGAAAAAAACATGGATTCTGGTAAGCCACTGAGATTTTGAACTTTTGTTTTCTTACACTATCCACGGTCTGATGCCCCCTTTTTCAGCCTTTTTGTTATCAGAGCACCCATCTTCAAAAATGCTGTTTATATTAGCGTAAGAAAGCAGGCTGGATGACTGGAAATCCATGTTATGTCATAGCAAAGCATTTGATAAATGATTGCCTAAGAGAACTTTGAAGGCACACGATAAGCATACTAAGCTTATAGCTCTACTCAAAAACATTGAAAAACAGAATCTTAGTAGGGTGTGGTGGTGGTTACTTGTTGCATTTGGCAAAGTCTCATTTTTAAAAAAGAAAGACATGAGCTCAGAGAATTGGCTAGTATGCAGTAGAAATGTAAAGAAATATGAATAATTCAAACATAGAGGTCTCTGCATCATCATCCCAACGGAGATCAGTGAGATTAAAATGTATTTGCTTCTCCCACCATCAGTCCTGGCCTACGGAGGGGAGCCACCACTTAAGTTCTTAGTGATGATGGTGCCCCTCTCACCAGACCATTCCCTCAAACCCTAGTAAATAGTGTAACTTCTGAACCTTCCCATGAAATAAAATCACCTGCTGTGTTTTCTGGACTTACGTAACATTTCCATTCTGGCATCGCCACTTCTCTGTGCCTTTCATTTCCTTCTTCTACCATCTACTATGACAAATTCTAGACATCACTCTTTTTCATATTTCAAGGAACATATTGGACTTCAAGTTTGCATTTTTCCTTTCATATCTGTCAAGTTTGTCCTTTAAGGCTCAATCTTTCTTCCAATGATGTATTTTATTTCTTCAGTTTAACCAAGCTATCTGTCTTTAGTTTCCCCAGAAGCAGACCTTGAGACAAAGTGAATACAACTTTATTTAGCAGCTGATTCCAAGAAGCACCAGAAAGAGATTGGAGAAGTGCAACAAGAAAGGGAAGAAAGCCAACACTGGGTTCAGTCATGAACATATGACCTCTATGGGCATCAGGGGCTCAATCTTGCTGGGTTTAGGTGTAGTGTTTGTAACTATTCCTCAGAAATGTCACACGCAGAAGTAAGGAAGATGGGAGTTTATCCTCCCACTCCTGTCCATCATTGGTTGTGGGAGCTATTAGGTTGGTGCAAAAGTAATGGCGGTTTGGGCCATATTTTTAATGGAAAAACCACAATTATTTTGCACCAACCTAGTACCTCCTGAGGAGCAACTCACTGGTGTTTCCTATCTACTCTACTTTCACAGAGAAAACCCTCAGTGTTGCAGGGTCTTGCAGAAAGAAAGCATTGTGTATAAGGTAATACCAGGGCTGATGAGATAGGAGTGGGGCACTGGCAGAGTCTGCTTCAGTCTACCCCATTCACTGTTCAGATCCACTAACAATGATATCAAAGAGGCAGATATTCCAGCCAGGGAGAAATATAAAGGCCCTGAGTAAGGCCTCACTCTCTAAACTTGCTTCCTTCTCACCAGCTAGGCTCCAGCAACTTTTCCACATCCATTCATAATCCCAGCCTGGACCTTTTGTAGGTTTTTCTTGTCTACTACTACTGTCTAGGTAATGACATCTTACAGAGTCTATAATGCTGTGCTGTTGAGATAGACCATTGTCTCTGTTTCAATGAAAGTCAAAGGAATAGCATGATAGGGAAAAACAAAAAACAAAAATCTGATGAGCCTACTAATTCTGCAGAAGCAGCCCACAGTTTTCATAGATATGTTTATCTATATGCAGAAAGCTTTAAGAACTTTCAAGTGAATTCCATGTTGAACCTCAATCTCTTTATTATTAATGTCATTGTTGACTTTGAATTCCTATGGTTTGCTCATTCAATGCTGTTATAGTCCTCCATAGACCTCAAAGATAGAAAACTGCCATAAGCTTCTACCAGGACTTGCAATTGACTTTTTAATGACTAAGTCTGACGATGTCAACTCTACAGGGGAGGGTACATGCCATAATGATTTAGAGACATTGAGTTAATATGAATATCAGGCTGTTTCTCTTCTCCCAACTCTTAAGTGTTGTTTTCTGAAGTATTCCAGACGTCTACCAACACACTGGCTCAAGGCAGGCTCTTCTGTACCCATAGCTTCAACTGTGCTCTACATATGAATGGCTTCCAAACTGCTAATCTCTACTTCTGTCTTTCTCTTGTCACCCAAATCTGCATAATCTCCTCCAGATAGGTGCCTCCTGGTCATCTCAAATTAATATGTGCAAAACAGAATACTTCTTCTTCCTCAGTATCATTTTATGATGGTTTTAAATACATTTTTAAATAATTACTAAAGTTTTTATGACAAAGAAAAATTAAGACAAGAAGGAGAAAAATAGAGAACTGTATCAAGGTGAAAGAGAAGCATACCTAGAGTATCATCCCTCACTGAGAACATTGCTTTGGTTTTCAAAAGCCAATAAGCAAACCCGAGCTCAGAATTAACAAAAGGATAGATTTAGGAATTAGACTCTGGGGATCAAAATGTCTTTTTCATTATTAATTTAAAATATAATTAAAGACAGATTAGAGGACATTGCTTAAGTCTTCAATAAAATGGGCATGCTAACATTTCTCTGAATAGAAATTACCATCCTAACCTGTCTCTTTACCCTTAACTTCTCTTGCACCAAAACAAACAAACAAAAAACTTGAATCTGATTGATGAGCTTGGAAGAATATGGGAATATTTAGCAAATCCTTCCCTTCACTTTTGGGATCTGCTGCCTCTATATAGAGAACATTTCGGTCCACTCTTTGACTAGGTGTTAATTTCCAGAGTCAGCTTGCAGGGTTGGGAAATAATTGAGGAGCAGTAATAATAGTTCACTGCCAACTTGTATCTTAACATGTTGGATTTAGATAATCCAGTTGCTAACTATGGAAAATTGGGGGAGCAGATTCACAATCCTGCTCCCGTCTTCAGAAGACTATTTTCCTGGTACTTTGAGTTACTCCAAGCCTATTCATGGATCATTTAGATGCCACCACATCTCTCTAGCCCTGGCAAATGTTCTGAAATGAATTAGTAGTAATTTGACAAGACTTTTCTTATGACTAAAAACCAGTTTCTATTTTTATTTCAAATTTTCTTGCCAAATAATTCATCTAAATTTCTGCATTGAGATTAATTGACAATACCCAGATACTGCAATAATAAAACGTTTCAATGCTAACAATTAGATAACCAATTTTAATGTAAACTCTCTTGCATTATAAAGCTCTCAGAGAAGAATTGAAATCTGAAGATTAGATCCATTTAAGTTATGCCCCAAAGAAGTAAATATCCAAAATTAGATTATCTTACCCTGTGAGTTAAAGACAAGAATTAAAGTAAAATGTAATTGTTAACAAGTTAGAAAATATTAAATACAAGTGTATAGAAACACTCATTCTTTTTTTTTTTTCAATCCAAGAGGATTGATAAATGGTATTAAATTCTCCTGTGCAAAAGAATTTTAGCTGATTAATGTAAAATGAATACCAGAATTAGGGGAGGGGGAAAGAGCACCATTTTACAATTCCCAGTGAAATAACTGATTCAGACAATGATCAATAATGGATGAAACCAATTGAGACTTGGCAGATAAGTATACTAATTATGAAGGGCTGTGCTGCACTGTAGTAATAACCCCAAAATTTCAGCAGCTTAAAACACTGCTTTCTCACTCATGATGCATGTCCAATGCTAGTTGACAAAAGGACCTTTCCATTCGGAGTCACTGAGGGATCCATCTAGAACATTCCTCCCTGATTCTGAAGCAAAAAAGGTTATATGATGATTTGCAGACTGGCTCTTAAAAGCTTCCACCTGTAAATGCCATATTTCTTTGGCTACATCAATTCACATGGTTATATCTAATTTCAAGAGAGTTTTGGAGGTTCAATTCTGCTTGTGCTCGAAGGGAAAAATGGAATATGTGTGAACAACACTAATGAAGGACTTTCCAAAGGAGAGATCAGTCATCATTTTATCCCACTGATCACTAATAGAAAAAACTGTCACTGTCTACCCCTGATAGGCTGCAATATAAGACACACAACACCACGTTTGGATATGCTTGAGAAATCAAACACCAAACAAACAAAACCAAACAAAAATATTTTAAGGTAAACGAGCCCTGTAAAGGAAATGGCTGCACTGTAGTCTAGAGTAGGCCGAGTACAGTACAACATCCAGTGCAGTATAGCACAGCAGGACTGGAGCGCAGGTGCACAATCTCATGCATTATATAATCTCAGTTATGTAACCATGTTATGAGTGGGCTCATCACTGACTCTGAACCACTGTTGCCTGTGAAGTGCATAAATATATCAACACTGTGAGAGGACCCACATAATGGAGCCAGCCGCCTTGCAGGCGGACAAAGAGACAGCCAGCCGCCTTGCAGGTGGACATCAGGGAGCCAGAAAGCCATGAGTGTGCCAGGGAGCACAGATGCATGCCTTGGGGCTGCAGAAGTCCTGGAGCCAGCACTGAGAGGGGCTGCGGCCAGAGCAGGCAGCTGAGACAAAGGCTGACAGAGATTAAAGCCGTATCCCAACTGTCTATGTCTTCTGAGTGTTCTTTCAACTACCTACAACCTGTCTACAGATTCTCCTCAGACTCCAGCTTGGGCTGAAACCTGAAAAGCTCCTAGAGCTACCTCTCAGTTAAAAGGGAATTAAAAAAAGAAACCAATTACATAACAAGACTAGGAAACATTAGACAAACCTAGAATCTGAGATATGTTACAAGATGACAAACAATTTCTTCGATGAGTCAATAGCATTCAAAAAATGATTAGCAGTGAGGTTTCAGATTGAAAGAGCTAGGAGAAACATAAAAAGCAACTGTAACGTGTGATCCTTGTTTAGATCCTATTTTAAACAAGCCACCTGTAAAGAAAAAAAAAAATTTTCATGGAGAAGTGAATTTAGAAAGGATATTGGATGATACCCAGGAAGTATTAATTTTGTGAGTTCCAATAAGATGGCAGTTACATAAGAACATATTCATATTTTTAGAGATGCATCTCACAGTTTGTATGAGTGAAACGGAGTGATGCCTCAGATTTACTAAAATGCATCAGAAAGAAAAAGAGTAAAACAAATGTGGTAAAATCTTGGGAATTTTACCAAAGTCCAATCAGGAAGAAGAAAACTAGGTATTTAAACAGAAGAATGTCATACAAAAATAAAAATAAGAAAAGATTACATAACGGTGGTAAAAGAATAGAGAAGCACAACAAGGGATGAACTTTGCAATAGCAAAAACTTGCTACCACGTTTTGACTTGGAATGCAACAGTAGAAAGTACCAATGGAGCTGAACAACCACAGATGGGCTGCCCAGAATTACCAGGGACCTGAAGAAGGACTGTCTGATAAAAGCAGGATCTTCCGAAATGCAGCGGCTGCCTGAGACCTGGGGAAGCAAGCAATGGTATAATCTGGTTCTCCCCTCTCCCTCCAGTATTCCATAAGGACTTTCTTGAACTGAGACCTCTAGAAGCCAGAAAGCAAGAAAGGAAGCCTGGGAAATGTAGTTCCAGTGTTATTGGGGGTGGAGGGGACTCATATTGTGTACATTTGCAGAAAGATTTTAAATTACAAAGATACTCAGACACTTTATGTGTGCAACCTCAGCCAGAGATTGTTACCCACATGACAGGTGGGTTCAATTACTTGGCAAATGACAGTCCGATGACCACAACCCACAACCAAGGAAGATTTTAAAAGGGGATTTTATTACTTGCAACAAGTAAGGAGGATACCCAGTATAGTTACCCAAAACAGTGTCTCCTCAAAGATGAAAACAGGGCTTTGATTGAGCTGGTTAGCTGAGTCATTGTATGTAGAGGTGGAGTAAAGGCAGCACAGGCACATGCCCATCATGCTTCTACATACATGGTATCAATAGCAAATGGCCAAGAAGCTCCTCCCAGGGTGGGGTTTTTAGTATGGTAATGAAGAGAGTTCACCAAAGTTCACCCCCAACTCAGGTATCTCTGGACCCAACTGATGTTTGTCTTTCAGGGCCTGAGCTTCTTCCTAGAACTTTTAAGTGGGTACTTTTTCACAGTGTGTACCAGAAAATCCAGGGACCCTGAGTTACAGCATTCTCAATGCTCGCCTCTTCCATGCCTCAATTTTAAAAGGATCCAAAATGTTAATAATTCATATGGGATTATCACATACTGTTTCACCCTACCAAACTGAGGAAACGTGGATTTCAGCCCTCACCTCTCAGTTATTCCATGCAAAATTAGGTTCTCAGAACACCAGAGACTGAAGCAGAAGCTTAGTGGTACCTGAGGGGAAAACATGGGCAAAGATGTTCTCTTTTTTCAGCCTTGACAATATGAAATCTTGATTCTGTGACTTGGGAACCTGATGAGAAATTTTACCAATTGTAAAGGTGAGTCTTGGCATTGTGCATTTACTGCACCTAGAAGGGAGACTTACCTGGGCAACTTGTCTCTCTCTCAGAGAATGACATTGAGACCATCTTCACTTCTTGATATATTTAGAAACTTGCCTTGAGTCAGACCCAGTTATCTCACATGAAGTAATTTTTTGCTTCCATTATACATATTCAAAACTCTGGCCTTGTCCCTGGGATTCCAGAAATTAAAGGAATCAAATGGGAACTAGAAGCTGAGTGGGGGATCTATCTGGCAGCAGAAGCTCTTGGGTGTCCCGTCCATAGGCATTTTTCCCTCCTGTGCCAGAGGGCCTGGTGAGGCACTGAGGAGGACTGGGAAACCCTCTCACTAGGGAAAATCTGATCCTAGTTGTCACACATGTCTCAACTGGAAAACGATGCTTTTTCTGCAAATTCCTACAACTGATACTGCCTCTAGGGCCTGGTGAGGATCCATACTGCTAGCTGGTGCTGCTTTGTCTTTTTCCTCAGATACTGAATGTTCCAGGCCTTGGCACCATTTCTTTCTGCTCTGATCATGGAGGCTGGCTCAGCTGAACTTGCAGCAGTTGGACTTTTACCTCTCTGTACATCGATGGCTAGCACCATTTCCTGTTGATGAGTGTCTTCTTTGCTTTTATTTTTGCTTAGCCAAACTTCCATCTTTCCAAAATACCTCCTTTAGATTTTGCTTTTCAGGGTGAAAGAAGAAATAAAGAAGTTCAGATGCTGCCTGATTTAACTCTGATTTGAAAAATAAATGCACCCAACAAACCAACATGTAATCCTAGTCTGGACTTAAGCTGTTATTAAACACCACTTCTTACCCAATTCATCTTGACTCTTCCTTTCTATAAAGTTATAATACTATAAATTTCTCAAGAATGATCCCTCAGAAGACTAGGAATAGCTGCATCCCCACCTATAATTAATGCACCACTTTTACACCTACCAGAAATTTTTTTGAGTATTTTTCTCTAATCTTCCTGATTATCTCTTCAAAATCTCTACATGTGTAATTTATTTTGTACAGCTATCTGACATTTACAGGGGTAGTTGTTCAATTTCTCTTCCTAAAGACTTTCTACTCACAGCTTTGAGTGGCAATCCCTTGATAGATTTCTGGATTCTGACCATGTATGGAACAGTCTTTCCAGTCTGCTCATTAGGATTACGCCCCCTTTCTCTGATTTTACAGCTACACTCCATCTGATCTAGTTAAAAATTCAAATATTTATCTAGTTTATAATACCATTTTAAAGAGCAGGTAGGCAGAGTAAATCTTTTTCCTTTTTTAATTTATTTCGTCTTCAAGTTTTTATTTCCTTGTCATATCTGTCAAGTCTGTCCTCTAAGGTCTAACCTTTATTCTAAGGAAATACTGCATTTCTCCAATTTATCCAAGCTATCTTTCTTAGGTTCCCTCAGAAGCAGACCTTGAGGCAAGGCAAGTGCAGTTTATTTGGCAGGTGTTGCCCCAGGAAGCACCAGTAGGGGAGTGGGGAATGAGACAGGGAAGAGGAGGGAGCCACTACCTGGTTCAATTATGAGCAGATAGGCTCTGTGGGCATCTGGGGCTCAATCTAATGGGTGCTTTGGGTGGATGTCCCACTGAAGAATGAGGAAGGTGAGAATTTATCCTCCAACTCCTGTCCATCATCGGTTGAGAGTTACCCCACAGTCGTTATAAATACTGTTGTTCCAGTCTCTTCCAAGCTCTAGAGATATTGCATAAGTAAGCCAGTGCATTACTGTCTACTGTGTTCATTCCCAATTTTTCCACAAGTGGGAGCTTTAGCAATATTGATGTTACAG
Source organism: Homo sapiens (assembly GCF_000001405.40). Classification (NCBI taxonomy): domain Eukaryota; kingdom Metazoa; phylum Chordata; class Mammalia; order Primates; family Hominidae; genus Homo; species Homo sapiens. The sequence continues at coordinate 101,760,285 of NC_000011.10, forward strand.
TATTCCAGGTGTTCCCCCACCTCACATTTACTGCCAGCAATGAGGTACTTATTGCTATTTGGACAGTGACTGTTTCAATTCCACAATCCCATCCTGAGGCTCTGCTTTGGAATATACCTTAGAACTATTGTCTTCCATTGAGCTACTCCTGAAATAAAACTGGATATAAGGATTTGAGTGAAAACTTTTTATTTTGGAAGTGATCCCAGGAAGCACTAATAAGGGAGTGGAGAAGTGAGACTAGCAAAGAAATGACACCAATAGTGTGTGTTAACAAGGAAGTTACTGATGTGGGCTCCATCCCACTGAGGAAATCATTAGGTCTATGTATGTCTCACAGTTATTTTAGGGGGAAGGAAGCTGGTGGTTTAGCCACCAGCTCTTGTCTGTCCTTGCCTGAAGACTGCCCCCGGGTGTTATTTCCTGGGTAATTCCACCTTTTTCTGGGCAAAGGCTAAGCATGTGTCTTGGTCCACTTGGGCTGCTATAACAAAATACCATAAACTGGGTGACTTACAGTCAATAGAAATTTATTTCTCACAGTTCTGGAGGCTAAGAAGCCCAAGATCAAGTCACCAGTAGATTCAGTGTCTGGTGAGGGAGAGCCCACTTCCTGGTCCATAGACGGTGGTCTTCCCAGCCTCACATGGCAGAAGCAGCAAGAGAGCTCCCTGAGGTCTCTTTTATAAGGAGGTGATTATTGTAAGGACACTCATTCTATTCATGAGGGCTCTACTGTCATGACCTAATCACGAACCAGACTCCACCTCTAGATACCATGGATTTGAGGAACATAAACCTTCAGTCTATAGCAGGACGTGACCAGAAAAGAAGACCTCAGAGATAGCATGGCAGGGGTCTGCAGTAGGAGGCTGCAGAAATATAGAGGAATAGCGAGTATTTAGAAGACAAGAGTGGGCACCAACATCTGCCATATAGTCTTCCTTCATTTTGTTTCCATGATTCTGCTCTTACTGTTTTGATAATCAAACTAAAATAGGTTTTTCAAATCAATCTTACTCCTCTTTAGTCCCTAAACAAAGTTGATTCCTGGAGATGGACAATTCCAGGCATAGGCCTTTCTTTTTTTTTTTTTTTTTTTTTTTGAGACAGAGTCTCACTCTGTTACCCAGGCTAGAGTGCAGTGGCGCGATCTCAGCTCGCTGCAAGCTCTGCCTCCCGGGTACATGCCATTCTCCTGACTCAGCCTCCTGAGTAGCTGGGACTACAGGCACCTGCCACCACACCCAGCTCATTTTTCTCGTATTTTGTTGTAGAGATGGGGTTTCACAGTGTTAGCCAGGATGGTCTCGATCTCCTGACCTCGAGATCTGCCCGCCTCGGCCTCCCAAAGTGCTGGGATTACAGGCGTGAGCCATCGTGCCCGGCCCAGGCATAGGCCTTTTTAAATTGTCAACTTAGACTTTGAGTTTGCAACTGTTTTATTTCTCAACCAAAAATCTGACACATTTTCCTTAGAATAATTATCCCCATTCTTTTTGTTTATTAATGAAATGCACCACTTTCCTCTCGGCAAAGCTACAGTTTGGACTTCTGAAACCTAAAACAGTGATTAGAGATAATGAAATTAACTAGAGTCAGATTCAACTGGAGACTAAATAGTGTGGAGTGACTCTTGAACTTAGTAGCAAGCTTCTCCAGATCCATCCAATGGCCCGAGGTGCAGGTAGTAAAATTTGAACAACTAGGTTAGCACTGACTACCTAGGCCTAGGACTAGCAATTTTAGCAAGAGTGCTGTAAGATCATTTTACATATTGCATGTATCTATTCCAAGTTATATTTCTTGACATGGAACTTTTGTGTCAAAGGAATATACTTTTTAAAAATTGTCTAAATACATTTAAGAAAAGTTAATCCATTTTAAACTCCAACCAAGAGTATGTAAAAATTTCTATGAACCCTCTCAAATACTAAGTATTTTGATTTCCTCTTTACCTTTGACAAGATAGAGCATGACATACTATCTCATCTAAACTTTGTTCTAGGGATTTTGAGTAGTTTTGTAACCCTATTGCTAATTTGTGTTGAGTGTATGTGAATTTGTGTGAGGTCTCTATATATTAGGCTCTATTATAAATATTTTCTAATACTTTCCATTTACCTTTCAAATTTCTTTATCTTACGGCATACCAAATGTGTATAGTCATATATACATTTAGTGTATATGAGTATACCAGTACAATAATACTCAAATCTATTCATTTTAAAATAAATTTTCAAATTATTACATGTTTAAAACTTTCTTTTTTTAATTCAGGGGTACATTTGCAGGATGTGTAGGTTTGTTACATAGAATGTGTGTCATAGAGGTTTGTTTACCGATTATTTCATCACCCAGGTATTAAGCCTAGTATTCATTATTTTCCCTGACCTTTTCCCTCTTCCCACTCTCCACCCTTCAATGGCCCCAGTGTCTATTGTTCCCCTCTGTGTGTCCATGTAGCCTCATCATTTAGCTCCCATTTATAAGTGAGATCATGTGGTATTTAGTTTTCTGTTCCTGTGTTACTTTGCTAAGGATAATGGCCTCCAGCTCCATCCGTGTCCCTGCAAAGGACATGATCTCATTCTTTATTGTGGCTGCACAGTAGTCCATGCTGTATATGTACCACATTTTCTTTATCCAGTCTATCATTGATGGGCATTTGGATTGATCCCATGTCTTTCCTATTGTAAATAAAGCTGCAATGAACATACGCATGTGTGTATCTTTATAATAGAATGATTAATAGTCCTTTGGGTATATACCCAGTAATGGGATTGCTGGATTGAATGGTATTTCTGACTTTAAATCTTTCAGGAATTGACACACTGTCTTCCACAATGGTTGAACTAATTTGCACCCCCACCAACAGTGTATGTGTTCTTTGAAACTTTTTTGTTATGATTTCCATTGCTCTAAGTTCAAAAGTCATTCTCCATCTCTATAACAGAAATATATACTTAGATTTTCTTCTAAATGTTAATGGTATTTTTTTACATTTAAAATTTCAATATGTATGGAATTTAATGTTATTTTTTCTAATTATTATTCGTTTGTCCCTAAACATTGGGTGACTCCCTCTTTTACCCAGTTCCTTGCAATGCATTTTTTAATAAAGTCAAACATATGCACATAAGAATACCTTCATGTTACTTTACTGTCCCATTTGTCTTTAAATCCTTATGCTAATATCACATTGTTTTGTTAAATATCTAATGTATCAAATACTCCCACATTTTAAATCCATTTACAAAATTTCATTAACTACACGTATTTGCTTTCTCTTCAAATGGACTTCAAAATTTTATTAGCTATTTTTACTTGTTTATTCTTCAGGAGTACTTTAAAATCACTACCACATTTCAAAATTACTCTCAAGCCTAATGGGATTTTTATAGGCATTATAAATTAATTTAGAAATTGATTTTTAAATAATGCTTAGCCTTTCAAGAATGTGGTATGCCGCATAATTTAGTCACTTCTACTTTTCATGTCCCATGGCAGTTTATTTTTTTTCAAATAGGTTTTGCTTACATATTATTAAGGGACATAATATAGACAGCTGATGTACAAAAGCAAATAGGTGTATATAAATCAAAGCACCCATTATACAATATACGCATACCTACACAATAATAAAGATTTGCTTTGGCACCTGAGACATCTTTCTGTCCTACTTGTAGTCATTGCTAGAATACTTATTTGTAACCAGTTTCAATAGTCAGGGTCCTGGCAGAAAAATAGATGACACACTCAAAGGGATTATTGCTAAGAATTCATGAAAAGTCTATTGAAAGAGGCAAGAACATGATTAGGGATCCAACAAGGGGTGAAGAAACACGCGGGACTGACAGCAACAGGAAGCCATCACCTTGACTAGCCTGAAGGGTAAGGAAAAGGTGTTGTGCAGTTTCCACAACCCAGTGAGAGCTGTAGCTATGGAAGGAGATGGCCTGAGCTGACACCTGGCCTGAAAGGAAATAAACAGCAAATAAATACTATGATTTCTGTTTCAACACTTTGCTCTCCAGCTAATGCCCTCATTTCCCAAATCCAAACAAAAGGAAAAGAGCAGAGGAAGCCAAGTGATATATTCCGAAAAAGTCAACCTCCCTACCAGGTAGAAAAGTGCAGGAAAGGACAAAGAAGAGCTCTCAAGAGCCTAATAGATGAGAAGATAGACAAAGCATGGCTTTTTAATAGAAGAGAAACCCATGCATCTGTAGAAAGACAAAAAGACTTGCACGGGTTGACAAACACAAATATTGAAAATATTGAGTGAATAAGAACAGGTTTTGAAGAATGCAAGTTCTATATGATTCAATTCATGTCTATTTTGGAAACACAGGAAGCAATAATATATATTTTGTGCACATAAACCTATGTATTAAAAGTAATATCAAAAATTGAAAAACATAGAAAATAAGAATAGATGCTAAATTTAGTTAGTGGTTACCTCTAGGAATGGAGAGAGTAAATGCTATGGAGATGAGAGGCTTCCACTGCACTCCAGCCTGGGTAACAGACCAAAACCCGGTCCCTAAAATTAATAATAACAATAATATTCACAAATCCTAAAAATTACAATTGAATTTTCATGAGAATCTGGAAAATAAAATGTTTTAATTGTTTTCTATTAACTTTTTTCAATAAACATGCTAAACACTTTTTAAATGATTTCATACCTTTCTAAAATCTAGGTGTAAGTACATAAATTTCTGTTATACTTCACTTTTCTGTATATACTTTTCTGTATTTTGAAATATTTCATAATTAACTATAAAATAAAAAGCCGATGTGAAAAAGAATGACAAAAAGAGGGAAAGCGTAGTCTGGCCTATTAGAGAAGGCAGCTGCCATGTTTCTTACAGGAACAAATCAAGGACTCAGGACACACAATTGGAGGGGTAAAAAGTGTCTTCATGCATTCCTCCAGCAGCCTCTGCTCCAGAAGCCATGCCTGTGTGTGTCCTCCTCAGTCCAGCATCACCTCCCTCAGAATCAGTGGGACTTGCAACCAGATTCTGGCATTAGGTTTTCCCTAAGTCTTTTTTTTAAGAGAGTGAATTTTGAAGTGTATTAAATAATTAGTCCTCATATATAAAAAAGTTTCCTATTAATGAATAATACATGTCACTTCAAGGTTTTAGACAATATAGAAACTTACAGAAAAGTGTTTTTAGACCACTTTACATAGCTGGAGAAAGAAAATAAAAGGATTAAACTCAATTATGAGTTCAAATGCATTTATGATCAAAATTATGTAAAACAAAAAAATCAAAACATATTTTGCAGCAGAACCTGTAAAATCTTTTTTGTGTTCATCTTTTTGAACCATGAAATAGAATGAATTTGTCTTGTTTTAATAAGATTTTCAAGAAACAGAAATAATTTAATCATCAAGTATGAGCTTGATAATGAACATATTTTATTATCAGTATCAATTGGTGAATTAACTGTTATCCAAAAAGGTTGACACGTTCTAACTAGTATGAACAGGATATTGAATTCATTAATGAATATATAACTATTTTGAACACACAAATAATCCCTAGTTGTATACCCACTGCATTTCAAAATTGTTTAAACTGTGGGGCGTCCAATGTATTTAATGTGGCAGAAAAAAATATTAAATGTTTCATTATTTTATTCTGTTCAGTCCTTTTCCCATTAAACAAGAAAACACTGACATAACCATTTTTGGTTTCGCTTCCACAAGGTCAACACGCAATGCATATATCTGGGCACTGATCTCACAACCAACTGAAGTGGCATATCTTGAAGCTGGAAATAAAAGTATTTTTATTTGTACTTTTAAAAGTGCACTTTCAACCTTTCCAAGATCTGATAACATATTCAATGTGTACCTTCTCATCAGCTGCCATAACCAATGCCAGAATAAATGTTGAATTCTCTTCATTTAGGTCCTGCCAAGCAATGCCAACGAAGGAGAATTTGGTTTTGTTCATATTCAGTGTGTACCCTCTCATCAGCTGCCATAACCAATGCCAGAATAAATGTTGAATTCCCTTCATTTAGGTCCTGCCCAGCAATGCCAACGAAGAAGAATTTGGCCTTATTCTTCCCAAGTTCCACTGTATAGTTAGTTATCAATGTTTATGTTCCCTCCAAGGGCAGGATAAGGAGGTTTGTTGACATGGCTCCAGTTGACTGACACTCAGATTGTATCATAGAGCTGAAAGATTGCTAAAGCATCTGCAAGGTAACTACAAATGATTAATATATGGGTTGATTCCTAAGGAATGCACCAGTTCTGAAATGTCCTCTCTTCTTTGCTCTCTCCCTCCAATAAGTTTATATTGATGTCATTATTATCTAACTTGTGTAGGCATGGATAGATATTAAACAGATTAACTATGAAAGCTAAATTAAGTTTAGGATGGCCTGAAACCACATCTGCAGGAGTAACAAACTGCAGCCAAGTTTATCTACTTCTTGAAGCATAAGTCCAGCACACTTCAAATCATTTTTCTTATGAAATCCTGAAGATGGACTGAAAAGTCCATATTCCCAGTCACCTTTAGGGTCAATTTGTGTAAGCAGATGAAAATAGGCTCTTGAATCCTTACTGCCTTGGCTGAAGTTGTTGATGGTACACCATCCTGCATCAGCCAGATGATGATTCACCCATTACAGCAGTAATTCCTCAGGAGAAAGCTACATCAGCATCTCTAGTTCCTCACCTTCATTTAGCAATGCAATCAGAGCTTCATTCCTAGAAATCTCAATATCATCAAAAAGACCAACTTAGATGATCTGCCAGAGAAGTCCTAAGACCAAGTGAGGTTTTCCTTCTTTGAGATTCTGTGCACTGATGTTGACCACTGTACAACTAATGGTCGAGACAGACTTTGGGTCTAATGTTTTAGTCCATTCTCATGCTGCTATAAAGAACTGCCCAAGACTGGGTAATTTATAAAGTAAAGAGGTTTAATTGACTACAGTTCCACACAGCTGGGGCGGTCTCAGGAAACTTACAATCATGGTGGAAGAGGAAGCAAATCCACCCTTCTTCACATGGCAGCAGGAAGGAGAAGTGCCAAGAAAAAGGGGGGAAAGACCCTTATAAAACCATCAGATCTCATGGGAACTAACTCACTATCATGAGAACAGCATGAGGGTAACTTCTCCCATGGTTAAATTACCTCCCACCAGATGTCTCCCACAACATGGGGACATTATATGAACTACAATTCAAGGTGAGATTGGGTGGGGACACAGAGCCAAACCATATTATTCTGCCCCTGGCCCCTCCCAAATTGTATGTCCTCACATTTCAAAACACAATCATGCCCTTCCAACAGTCCCCTAAAGTCTTAACTCATTTCAGTTAACTCAGAAGTCCAAGTCCAAAGTCTCATCTGAGACAAGGCAAACCCCTTCCGCGTATGAGTCTGTAAAATCAAAAGCAAGTTAGTTACTTCCTAGATACAGTGGGGGTACAGGCATATTATACCTGTTTCAAATGGGAGAAATTGGCCAAACCAAAGGGGCCATAGGCCTCATACAAGTTCAAAATCCAGCAGGGAAGCCAAATGTTAAAGCTCCAAAATCATCTCCTTTGACTCCATGTCTCATATTCAGGGCACGCTGATGCAAGATATGGGATGCCACAGCCTTGGGCAGCTCTACCTCTATGGCTTTGCAGGGTATGGCCCCCCTCCTGACTGCTTTCACGGGCTGGCGTTGAGTCTCTGTGGCTTTTCCAGGCTCACAGTGCAAGCTACCGGTGAATCTACCATTCTGAGGTCTGGAAGACAGTGGTCCGCTTCTCATAGCTCTACTAGGCAGTGCCCCAGTGGGGACTCTGTGTAGGGGCTTCGATCCCACATTTCCCTTTCTCACTGGCCTAGCAGAGATTCTCCATGAAGCCTTCACCCCTTCAGTAAACTTCTGCCTGCATATCCAGACATTTCCACACATCCTCTGAAATCTAGTTAGAGGTTCCCAAACCTCAATTCTTGACTTCTGTGCACCCTCAGGCCCAAAACCATGTGTAAGCCATCAAGGTTTGGGGTTTGTACCCTTTGAAGCCATGGCCTGAGCTATACCATGGCCCCTTTTAGTCATGGCTGGGACACAGGGCACCAAGTCCTGAGGCTGTACAAAGCAGCAAAGACCTAGTCCTGGCCTATGAAACCATTTTTTCTTTCTAAGGCTCTGGGCCTGTGATGAGAGGGACTGCTGGGACAACCTCTGACATGCCCTGGAGACATTTTCCCCATTGTTTTGGTGATTAACATTTGGCTCCTCAGTACTTATACAAATTTCTGCAGACTGCTTGAATTTCTCCGCAGAAAATGGGTTTTTCTCTTCTATCACATTGTCAGGCTGCAAATTTTCCTAACTTTGCTTCCCTTTTAAACCTAAATTCCAATTCCAAACCATAACTTTGTGAATACATAAAACTGAATGCTTTTAACAGCACCCAAGTCACATCTTGGACACTTTGCTGCTTAGAAATTTCTTCTGCCAGATACCCAAAATCATCTCTCTCAAATTCAAAATTCCACAGATCTTTGAGATCTTTGGGCAAAGGAAGAGCCAAAAAAAAAAAAAAAAGCCAGTCTCTTTACTAAAACATACCAAGAGTCACCTTTATTCCAGTTCCTAACAAGTCCCTTATCTCCATCTGAGACCACCTCAGCCCAGACTTCATTGTCCATATCACCATCAGAATTTTGGTTAAAGCCATTTAACAAGTCTCTAGGAAGTTCCAAACTTTCCCACATCTTCCTGTCTTCTGAGCCCTCTAAACTGTTCCAACCTCTGCGTGTTACCAAGTTCCAAAGTCACTTCCACATTTTCAGGTATCTTCACACTACCCAATACCAATTTACTGTATTAGTCTACTCTCACATGGCCATAGGGAACTGCCCAAGACTGGGTAATTTATCAAGGAAAGAGTTTTAATTGATTCACCATTCCACAGGGCTGGGGAAGCCTCAGGAAACTTACAATCATGGTGAATGGTGGATGCAGAAGCAAACATGTCCTTCTTCACATGATGGCAGGAAGGAGAATTGCAGAACAAAAGGGGGAAAGCCCCTTATACAACCATCAGATCCCATGAGAACTCACTATCATGACAATAGCATGAGGTTAACTGCCCTCATGATTAAATTACCTCCCACAGGGTCTCTCCCATGACACTTGGGGATCATGGGAACTATAATTCATGGTGAGATTTGGGTGGGGACACAGAGCTAAATCATATCAACTAGGTTTAAATTTTCAGAAAGAGTGAAAGCGGCGAGCTTTTTATTAATGGCTCTTTCATCAGTTGTATCTGGTTCAAATAAATTGATCATTTTGCAAAGAAGGATGAGATCTGCAAGTAACTTGAAGATACTGCCATCATTGAGGTTCATGGGTATAAGATGCTTCATGTATAAGACTACAGTCTTTCCTTTTTAATTATTGCATCAGTAACACAAATTTTTCAAACTGATTTTGCCATCTTGGTTGTTGTCAGCAACTGCTAGAATTTTCTCTTATACCTTGTAGCCAGGCATAGGAAGGCTTGCTTAACCTTAAATAGGTCTTGAAGTTCATAGTCACGGACTTACCCACTATTGTGAATATCCATTCTACTAAACACTTATTTTACTTCTTCAAGCTCCTCCCAAGAAATGATAGTAGTACTGTTTCCAACTTTGGATAGGAAAGACTACCTTCAGGTCTTTATATCTCTTTATCTTGTAGTTCACTAGTTGCTTTCACATTCACTGTCTTGTTTAATCATCAAACCCACAGCTCCCTTCTCACAGGGTCAGAAACAGAAACACACACTTTGACTTCTCATCCATAGTTCCCCTAAGTCTTAATTTTAAGTGATGTTGTCAGTTTTCCTCCTTTATGGTGACTTCATGGGTATTTTTAAAAGGAAGCTAAGAAAACCCACATTAGCTGCTTACTTCTAGGCATCATTTTAAACTGCAGTGCACAATAATGAATCAGCTTAAATAAATCCAGTTGTCCTAAGGCTCTTAAGACACTGGACTTTAATTTATGTTTTTTCTGTTCTCTAGTAGCCTATCAGTTCTTCTGGGGCAGAAAACCTTTTTTTCTTATTTATCTCCGGGTCTTCAGCATCTGGCACAGTGCTTGATATCAATCAAAGCAAACAACTGTGTTCAAGATATGATGAAAATTTACAAGTGTAGAGAATTGAACAGCAAGAGGAACAAAATTTTTAAAAGGAGATCATAGGAAAGAATTTTGAGAAAAACTATATCTTATACTGAAACACATCTACTGCAAATTAGGACAATTTTGACAATACATTTCTGAATACAGACTATAATTATTCTATAATATATCCATGTATGGCATATATAACATATGATATATTTTATATTGGAAAGTTATTTCTGCTTGAAATACAATACAATGAGCTCCTGTATAACCTTCATCTAGATAAAGGCTCTTTATAGCTATTTTTCCCCTATCCAGGATTCAATCAAGGGATTATGCGTTTCATTTGGTTGTCACATCCTCTTAGCCTTTGATGGAGAACACACACACACGCACACACACACGTGTGCTCTTTTTTGTTCTTAGTGACAGTGGCATTTTTGAAGACTCCAGGTAATTTGTCTTATATCTCAATCTTGATTTCTCTGATAGCAGACAAATCTTTACATTTAGATGCAGGTTATGTATGTTTGGCAAAAATACTACTTAGGTGATTTTGTGTGTCTCAGAAGATGTATCATCACCAGAAGTACATAATGTCACTTTGTTCCAATGTTAATGAGGCTAAATTTCATCACTCAGTTAAGGTAGTGTCATCAAATCACTCCAATAAAGTTACTGTTTTCTCTTTGCAATTAAATAACCTGTAGAGTGATGTTTTGAGACCATTCTGTTAACCCAATGAATTTGGTGTCCATTGATAAATCTTCCTGAATTATTACATATGTGTTGCAAAGTAATGATTTTCTAATTATTTCACACATTCTCCACTTATTAGCTGACATGCTCTGTAAAGAAGAGTTTCCCCCTCCACACACTGACCTTTATTTTATAGCTGTGTAGTTACAGATTCTACTTCTGTCTTAGACATATTTTAATCCATTACCGTTTTTATGGTTTTGATGCTCAGACTGTCTCACATTTAGCCAATGAGAACTCCTCCAAACTGGCTTCTGAGTCATTTTGATGTACTTCTCTCATTTGCTCAACACATATTTGCTTTCTGACCCAATAATATATGACAGTCTCTCCTTTTACTTTCCCTCCATCAGACCTGTGAACAGCCTTTACTCTAAGGAACATGCTGCCTTTTACTAAGGATGGTACTTAGATCCCATAGCCCATTGAGTTATTGCTACTGAGTTATGGCCTAAATACTTCTCTAACCCATGTCTACTACCTCCACCCTACTCCATGGCAGCAATCCTCAGTTGGTCTTACGACAGGCTATCTGGCTTCCTTTCAACCACTTTCTCACACTGCAGTCAGTGTGATCTTTCCAAATGCAAATTTGTCCCTGCCATACCATGCGCAGGTGCGTGCATTCATTCATGCAGTTCATAACACACTTGAAACAATTCAGTGGTTGCCCTTTGAGTTGTAGAATGAACACCAAAAACATTAGAATGACCAAAAACATGTGGGGACATGGCTTGTCCTTTCCCCACACCGAAGTTGCATTTGGCCACTTTTCCCCAGCTCTCTGTGCTTTATCGGCATTGGCCTCTTTTCCAAACGTATCATGCTTTCTCCCACCACAGCCTATTGCATGTTCTGCCCTCTGTCTAAAATGGTGTCCTCTCACCTAGTATGTCAGATTCCTGACATATTGATTTAGTGCCTCAGCTCTCCCCCCATGCACAGCTGGAGTGGACTCTCCATATGGGTTTGACTCACTTTGCACTCACAGCTTCTTGCCCCTTTTTTACTTTCTGCCCAGGGCTTCTTGGATTCAGTGGGCAAGAGCAGGAGCATGCTTCACATATAAGCATGTGTTGGGGAGTTACCTCTCCCAAGAGCAGCCATTAGTCATGAGCAGAGGCCATGGCAAATGACACAAATCAGGTCTCTTTTTTCTCCTGAGCCATTTTACCAGCACATCACGTCATCTCTCATCTCATCCCTTTGTTTCTCCCACACTAGAGCATTCTGTACACCAAAGGTCACACAAATCCTGTCTTCTCCTGTCCATTCTCACACTTTTACATTTTAACATAATAATCAGAGCCCAGCTTTAATGCCGCTTGCCTCATTGAAGTCTTCCCTGTTACCTCCAGTGAAAATTAATCACTCATTTCTCTACAGCCATGACACAACTTCATTATTTCCATTCGAATATTATTCCATCCAACTTTCCTTTATATCAAGATATCTTGATAGGCTGGTAGCTCTTTGAGGTAAGAAGCCTATTATAAGCTGAAACATGTCCTCCTAAAAATTCACGTTCAAGTCCCCACCCCCAGTACCTCAGAATGTGACTATTTGGAGACAGATTCGTACCAAAGTAATTAAGGTAAAATGAGGTCTTTAGGGTGGTGCCTAAACCAATATGACTAATGTCTTTATAAGAAGAGGAAATTTCGGCACAGATGTGTACCAAGGGAAAATGATGTGAAGACAAGGCAGAAGGAAGCCATCTACAAGCCAAGGAGGGAGGCCTAGAACAGATCCTTCCCTCACAGCCCTCAGAAGGAACCAATCCTGCTGATACCTTGATTTTAGACTTCTAGCCTCCAGGACCGTGAGAAAATAAATTTCTGTTGTTTAAGCCACCCCATCTGTTGCACTGTGTTAAGGCAGTCCCAGCAATCTATCACACTCCCTGTATTTTTTCTCAGCTCACGAGCATCTCCCACAGTGAAAACATATGACGGACTTGCAATAAATGTTTTCTCGTGTGAATTTAATTAATCACCATGCTATAATGTATTCCTTCCCAATTAGTATGTAAAAACTGGCTTTAGAGTCAAACCTGAGTTCAAATTCTACCATCTTACTAGCTGAGTGACAATAGGAAAGAAAGCAAATCTTAGGTTAAAGATGGGAATAATCATCATCTAACTCATGGGAGTATTTTGATAATTACATGAGATACTGTAAGGAGGTATTCGACATAGGACCTGAAAAGGAATAAGCACTCAATAAGTATTAACTACTATTGCTGCCATAATTATTATATGTGTAATAAAAATATAGTGTGTCAGGATGGAGAAATAAATAAAAGTATATTTTGGTGATCCAGTCTAGGATAATTTACCATGTACTGCACATTTTCTTCAACATCTTAGTTAAAAGTGAACTAAAAAATACACTAAGTTCTTCAAAAGAAGTATGTCATTGTTCACTGTGTACTGGAATACTTTATGGAAATATCCCTGCCTTTGGGCTCTTAAAATGAAGATTCATTACCAAAAGACATGTCTACAGGGTGAGATAGGCCCAAATGGCCAGGCAATGTCCCAAAATGACAGGCTATTATGTTTCAGCTTCTGAAGGAGTTTCATCCATGAATAGTGCCTCTGAAAGACAAACTATCCTAGATGACATTCTTAATGGGACAGGGTTGAATTGGAAGAAAGTAAATCTAAGCACCTGAACAATATTGTTACTTGTTACTCCTTTCTAGAAAATAGTATTCTCACACCTGGATCACTTTAGTGCTTGAATGCAAAATTTTACAGAGAATGAAAGCAGTAAAATATGTGTATTAGGGTAAGAAAATTCAATCTAGAAGATGATACTGTGGGATGTTATTTTTATTAAAAACACACACACAACAAATTAGGGCCCGTGGTCTCTAAGATATAAGGGAAATAATGACTATTTCAGGTCACAGGTGAAATCACCAAACCTTACTTTAAGCAAAGAAGCAACAGAGAGGAGCTGAGGGATGAGGAAGGGCCAACTGTAATCTGAGTTAATCAGGGTGAGACTCAATGGCTTCAGCCATCTCCTGAGACAAGCTAGGGCTGACATTTCAAATTTAAGAAGCACGATATGATTCTGCCATCTTGGTTTGAGAAAGCAGACATTGCCAACTGGTTATCTCTTTTCCTTTATCCTCTAAGGATGGAGTGCAATGTTTCTGTGTCCCTATGGCCAAGTTTTCTTATAACTAGTCAAGAAAATGTTCTGAATTCCCTTAGACTCATACTAAGTGGCATGCTGCTCTCACATCCCTAGAGGGCCTGCTCCACTTGAAATACTGCAAACCAAACCTATTCTGACTCCTGGAAACAAGACATCTCTCCATCTCCAGCCACCCTTCCAGTGTCCGCAGCTCATAGGTACTAAATCTGCAGAGGCTCCCAAAACAAGGAGATAACCGAATGCCTAAATCCTCTACCCCACTCAGCAGATAAAGCCCCAACACCTGTGAGCATGCCATATCACAAATTACTTTACTCTCAGAATGGCTAGATCCTCTCCCCAAATGACCATGATTACTATCTTCAGCTACGATAATTCACTCACCCATTGCTGTAATCCATGAGACATTTACCCCCAGATGAAGTGTCATTACCTATTCCTCCGTATTTCCAATCATGTTACCCCTCTGAAATTTGGGAGATTAGTAAAAAAGATGAGAGACATCCTCAGGGACTTGCCTATGGGTGAATTTATTGCTTTCTACTCCTTGCATTCAGAGAACAGTACTCTGTGATTAAAAATAAATGAAATATGGCTTATGTTTTAAAAATAAACACAGCTTTACATTTGCATTGATGCCCCTTGACAAAGATGTGCGTTCATTTTCTTTTAATAACTCCATATCCTATGACTGATATCTGAGAAAATGCTGTATTACAAACACCAGGTGGGTCACAGGCCTGTCGATGATATCAGAGTATAAACCAGTCAAAACCCTTCCCGTTAAACTTCAGGCAATTGCAATACTCACCACTGAGGATGATGAAAGAAACGCACTTTTCTAGAGCAAAACCATTTATGGGAATGTTTGAATTGCTGTTCGGTAAACACAGACACTTGAGAAGAGTGAACCATAAACTGAAAAGCTTGAGTATGAGGGAGTGGGTGGCAGGACAGCAAGCAGCACAAGGTTTTCATGACCTAAGAGTAGACAGTTTGTACAGATTGTGTCTATCATCGTAAATATTTCCACAATCCATTGAGGCAATGATCTCTTTTCTGAAAATGAACACTGATAAGTAGCTATTTAATGCCTCCATTTGTAATAGCTATATTGTGCATTTAATGTATATTTCCATTGATCGTCATTTAAAAATCATTTACTAAATTAAAAATTAAATTCATCAGTTATGGTAGATACTTTTTGCTCTTCCACTTTTCATCCCTACAGCCCATCTCTGATCCCAGCTACAGTAGGAGTGAACTGGTCTATGCAAAATGCCAACATCCCATCTTAAGCTTGTGCATTTTTGTCTCTGCTTTTCTACATTAAGGCCTTTCCAAGGCCAAGGAACTTGCTCAGTCCTGCAAAAGCACAGCCTAAGAGCATGGGGGAGTTAAAGGCACAGAGACACAATCACTCAGCAGGAATAGGAACTGGCAGATAAATGCCCCAACCCCTAGTCCTTTAGACAAACAGTCCTGATAGGCATTCTGTGGATTTCTCAGAGGATCTTGCAAAACTGCACCACCAGCACTGCAATTGTAATGACCCATCCTAATATTGGCTTCTTCTCTTTCCCTATCTCATTCTAAGCTTCTTCACTACTGGTTCCTGGGTTACCCTCCTAATGAAAGTATATGCTCCTAACTTCCCAACTTCTAATCCTATGCTCTGCTTTCAGGAGAGCCCAAACAAAGACATGAAATATCTTAAAATCTAGAGATATTTAGATAGCAGAAATCAGGAATGAAGAAAGAATCCAGAAGTAGAAATCAAGACATGAAGGCAGTAAAAGCAACTTTGAAAATATTACCATCTAATCATTAAACAATATCTATTTAGTGTTTACTAAGTGCCACACGTGTTCCAACTACTAGAGACACTGCTCCAGGAACTGGCTGTTAAAAATATTCATTTACTGAGTTAATTTTTGTAAAGCACTTAGGACTGTGCCTAATACATATTAAGTCCTGTATGTATACTAAATAAGTAGAAAACAGATAAATATATTAAATCCTAAGTGTCTACTGGGTATATCCCAAAGTTTAAGCCACCTCTCAGCTTTTCAACAAACTCTTGATATATTTTAATTAAACTTTTTTATTTTTACATAATTATAGATTCAATGAGGAGGATGGTTAATGGGTATAAACATATAGTTATCTAGAAGGAAGAAGTTCTAGTGTCTGATAACAAAGTAGGATGACTATAGTTAACAATTTATAGTATATTTCAAAATAGCTGGAAGAGAAGATATGAAATTTTCCCAATACAAAGAAATGATGTCTTTGAGGTGATGGATATCCTAAATACCCAGATATGATCATTACACATTGTATGCATGTATCAAAATAACACCTGTACCCTATAAATATGTACATTTATTAAGTATCAATCAAGAAAAGAAATAATAACAGACAGTTCCCATGTACCCTTTACCTAATACATGTACTTTACCAGAGTAGCCTAATTTTAATTATACTGCTAATCAAGATCACTCAAATCAAATTTTCTGCTACTTTTTTTTGGGGTGGGGGCTGAAATTTAGGATCCAATGCTTTTTTAATAGAGGTGAAATCCACATAACATAAAATTAACCATTTAATCCTCATCAATGATAGACTGGATAAAGAAAATGTGGTACATACACACCATGGAATACTATGCAGCCATGGAAAGGAACAAGATCATGTTCTTTGCAGGGACATGGATAGAGTTAGAAGCTGTCATCCTCAGCAAATTAACACAGGAACAGAAAATCAAACACCACATATTCTCACTTATAAGTGGGAACTGAATTATGAGGACACATGGACACATGGTGGGGAGCAACACACACTGAGACCTGTCGAGGCAGAGTGGGCACAGAGAGGGAGAGCATCAGGAAGAATAGCCAATGGATACTGGGCTTAATACCTGGGTGATGGAATGATCAGTGCAGCAAACCACCATGGCACACATTTACCTACGTAACAAACCTGCACATCCTGCACATGCACCCCAGAACTTAAAAGTTGAAGAAAAAAACATTAGCCACTTAAAAGTACACAGTTTCTGTTAATCTGTGAATAGGTCATACATTCTTTTTTCCTTGCATACTTCATAATTTTTGCTGAAAACTGGACATATTTAACATAATATGGTAACTCTGGAAATCAGATTCTTCCCCCTCATCATTGTTTTTTATTCTGTTTCAGCTTGCTGCGGATTGTAGTGGTTTGTTTACTTTTCTAAACTATTTTTGTAAAGTCTGTATTTTTGGAGTGTGTGCTCTGAGTTCTTTGTTCCTTTAGCTTGTCATTGACTAGTGTTGACAGACATTGCCTTCAATGCCTGGAGCCAAGAAAAGAAAAAAACAAACTTTCCCAGTCTTTGCAAATTGTTTTGAGATTGAGGAGCTCTTTCAATACTTAGGCTGTTTACAACTCTGTGTTAACCTGAACTCTGTGCTTGTACTGAGCCTAAAGATCAGCCAAAGGTGAAAACTCTGGGTCTTCTCTGGTCCTTTCCTAGCATGCACCCTTCCCTGGGCATACACATGGCATTCTAAATTTCCCAGTATAGGTAGGCACCCTTCAATTCCCTAATTTACCAAAGCAACTCTCCCTCTGGCTTTTCATCCCAGGCTGTTGCCTCAACTGTAATCTTTTGCCCCAGGCAGCAGTTGTTTATTTGCCTTACAATGTTTTCAAGGAATGCCCCTTTCATAGCCACTTCTTTACTCTGAGTGACATCTATTGATTTTGACTTTTTAATAATCACCATTCTTGCAGGAGAAAGCTGGTATCTCATTATGGTTTTTATCTGCATTTCCTTGATAATTAGTGATGTTGAGCTTTTTCTTCATATGATTCTTGGCCATTTGTATATCTTTTGAGAAATGTCTATTGGTGTAACTTGTCCACTTTTGATGTGATTTTTTCTTGATTTATTTGAGTTCCTTGTAGATTCTGGATACTAGTTGATATGGTTTGGCTGTGCCTCACCCAAATCTTATCTTGAAGTGTAGCTCCCATAATTCCCACGTGTCATGGGAGGGATTGGTGGGAGGTAATTGAATCATGGGGGCAGGTCTTTCCCACGCTGTTCTTGTGATAGTGAATACGTCTCATGAGATCTGATGGTTTTATAAAGGGGAGTTTCCATGCACAAGTTCTCTTCTCTTGGACGTTGCCATCCATGTAAGACATGACTTTGCTCCTCCTTGCCTTCCATAATGATTGTGAGGCCTCCCCAGGCATGTGGAACTGTGAGTCCATTAAACCTCTATCCTTTATAAATTACCCAGTCTCCAATATGTCTTTATTAGCAGTGTGAAAACAGACTAATACAGTACATTGGTAGTAGTGGAGTGGGGCACTGCTGAACAGATACCTGAAAATGTGGAAGCAACTTAGGAATTAGGTAACAGGCAGAGGTTGGAACAGTTTGAAGGCCTCAGAAGAAGACAGAAAAATGTGGGAAAGTTTGGAACTTCCTAGAGACTTGTTGAATGGCTTCAACCAAAATGCTGATAATGACATAGACAATGAAATCCAGGCTGAGGTGGTCTCAGATGGAGATGAGGAACTTGTTGGAAACTGGAGAAGGTGACTCTTGCTATGTTTTAGCAAAGAGACTGGTGGCATTTTGCCCCTGCCCTACAGATTTGTGGAACTTTGAACTTGAGAAAGATTATTTAGGTTATCTGGCAGAAGAAATTTAAGCAACAAAGCATTCAAGAGGTGACTTGGGTGATGTTAAAGATATTCAGTTTTAAAAGGGAAACCAAGCATAAAAATTCAGAAAATTTGCAGCCTGGCAATGTGATAGAAAAGAAAATCCCATTTTCTGAGAAGAAATTCAAGCCTGCTGCAGAAATTTGCATAAGTAACGAGGAGCTGAATGTTAAACACCAAGACAATGGGGAAAATATCTCCAGGGCATGTCAGAGACCTTTGTGGCAGCCCCTCTCATCACAGGCCTGGAGGCCTAGGAGGAAAAAATGGTTTTTGTGGCCAGGCCCAAGGCCCCCCTACTGTGTGCAGCCTAGGAACTTGGTGACCAACATCCCAGCCACTCTAGCCATGGCTGAGAGGATCCAAGGTATAGCTCAGACAATGGCTTCAGTGAGTGCAAGCCCCAAGCCTTGGCAGCTTCCACATAGTGTTGGGTCTGCAGGTACACAGAAGTCAAGAATTGAGGATTGGGAATCTCTGCCTGGATTTCAGAGGATGTATGGAAATATCTGGATGGGCAGGCAGAAATTTGCTGCAGGGGTGGGGCCCTAATGAAGAACCTCTGCTACGGCAGTGCGGAAAGGAAATGTGGGATTAAAGCCCCCCAGCAGAGTCCCCACTGGGGCACTGCCTAGTGGAGGTATGAGAAGAGGGCCTCTGTCCTCCAGACCCCAGAATGGTAGATCCACTGACAGCTTGCACTGTGTGTCTGGAAAAGCCCCAGATACTCAATGCCAGCCTGTGAAAGCAGCTGGGAGGGAGGCTATACCCTGCAAAGCCATAGTGTTGGAGCTGCCCAAGACCATAGGAACCCACCTCTTGCATTAGCATGGCCTGGATGTGAGACATGGAGTCAAAGAGATTATTTTGGAGCTTTAAGATTTGACTGTCCCACTGAATTTCAGATTTACATGGGCCCTTTAACCCCTTCATTTCGGCCAATTTCTCCCATTTTGAATAGGTGTATTTATTCCGATGCCTGTACCCCCACTGTATCAAGGAGGTAACTAACTTGCTTTTGATTTTACAGGCTTATAGGCAGAAGGGACTTGCTTTGTCTCAGGTAAGATTTTGGACTGTGGACTTTTGGGTTAATGCTGAAGTGAGTTAAGACTTTGGGGGACTGTTGGGAAGGCATGAGTGGTTTTGAAATGTGAGGACCTGAGATTTGGGAGGGGCCAGGTTTGGAATGATATAGTCTGGCTCTGCCCTTACCCAAATCTCATCTTGAATTCCCACATGTTGTGGGAGGGAACTGGTGGGAGGTAATTGAATCACAGGGGCAGGTCTTTCCCATGCTGTTCTCGTGATAGTTTCTTCCATTCTGTGAGTTGCCTGTTTACTGTGATAATTATTTCTTTTGCTGGGCAGAAGCTTTTTAATTTAATTAGTTTTCATTTGTTTATTTTTGTTTTTGTTTCATTTGTTTTGGGCCTTTTAATCGTGAATTCTTTGCCTAGGCCAAAGTCCAAAGTTATCGTCTGAATTTTTTATGGTTTCCAGTCTTAGATTTAAGCCTTTGATCCATCTTGAATTGATTTTTGTATAAAATGAGAGATAGGGATCCAGTTTCATTCTACACGTGGCTACTTTTCCCAGCACCATTTATTAATGGGTACCCTTTCCCCAATTTATGTTTCTGTATGCTTTGTCAAAGAACAGTTGGCTGTATGTATTTTGCTTTATTTCTGGGTTCTCTATTCTGTTCCATTGGTCTATGTGCCTACTTTTTTTTTCTTTTTTTTACCAGTACCATGTTGTTTTGGTAACTATAGCCTTGTAGTATAATTTGAAGTCTGGTAATGTGATGTCCCCAGGTTTTTTTTTTTTAAACTTAGGATTTCTTGGGCTGTTGGGGCTCTTTTTGGACTACATATAATTTTTAGAATTGTTTTTTCTAATTCTGTGAAAAATGATGTTGGTATTTTGATAGTAATTGCAGTGAATCTGTAGATTGCTTTGGAAAGTATGGTCATTTTCACAATATTGATTCTTCTAATCCATTAGCATGGGATGTGTTTCCATTTGTTTGTATCTTCTGTGATTTTTTTCACCAGTGTTTGGTAGTTCTCCTTGTAGAGATCTTTCACCTTCTTGGTTAGGTCTGCTCCTGGGAGCTTATTTTTTTTTAATTTTTTTTTTTTTTTTTTTTGCAGCTGTTGTAAAAGGGATTGAGTTCTTGATTCAATTCTCAGCTTGGTTGATATTAGTGCATCGCAGTGCTACTGATTTGTGTACATTGATTTTGTAACCCGAGACTTCACTGAATTTGTTTATCAAATCTAGGAGTCCTTTGGAGGAGTCTTTAGGGTTTTCTACGTATATGATTGTATCATCAGCAAACAGAAACAGTTCAATTTCCTCTTTTTTTAAATTTGGATACCTTTATTTATTTATTTCTCTTGCCTGATTGCTCTGGATAGGATTTCCAGTACTATGTTGAATAGAAGTGGTGAAAGTGGTCATCCTTGTCTTGTTCCAGTTCTCAGGCGGAATGCTTTCAACCTTTCCCCATTCAGTATGATGTTGGCTGTGGGTTTCTCATATATGGCTTTTGCTATTTTGAGGTAAGTCCCTTCTGTGCCTACTTTGTTGAAGGTTTTTATCATAAAGGAATGCTAGATTTTATTGAATGCGTTTTCTCCATCTATACAGATGATCATATGGTTGTTTTTAATTCTGTTTATGTGGTGTATCACATTTATTGACTTGCATATGTTAAACCATCCCTGCATCCCTGGGATGAAACCCACTTGATCATGGGTTATTATCTTTCTGATATACTGTTGGATTAGGCTAGCTAGTATTTTGTTGAGGATTTCTGCATCTTTGTTCACCAGGAATATTGGTCTGTTCTTTTCTTTCTTTCTTGTGTCTTTTCCTGGTTTTCATATCAGGATGATAGTGGCTTTGTAGAATGATTTACAAAGAATTTCCTCTTTTTCAGTGTTCTGGAATGATTTCAGTAGGACTGATACCAATTCTTCCTCGAATGTCTGGTAGAATTCAGCTGTGAATCCATCAGGCTCTGGACTTTTTGTTATTGTTGGCATTTTTTAAAATTACTGATTTAATCTTACTGCTTTTGACTGGTCTGTTCAGGGTTTCTATTTCTTCCTGATTTAATCTAGAAGGGTTGTATGTTTCCATTTAATCTAGGAGGGTTGTATGTTTCCAGGAATTTATCCATTTCCTCTAGGTTTTCTGGTTTGTGTGTAATATATATAGGTGTTCATAGTAGTCTTAAATGATCTTTTGTATTTCTGTGGTTGTTGGTTATAATGTCTCCAGTTTCATTTCCAAGTGAGCTTATTTGTATCTTCTCTCTTCTTTTCTTGGTTAATCTAACTAATGGCCTGTCAGTTTTGTTTATCTTTTTAAATAACCACTTTTTGTTTCATTATTTATAAAATCTTTTTCATTATTTCTTTGTTTGTATTAATTTCATTTAGTTCTGCTCTAATATTTGTTATTTCTTTTCTTCTGCTACCTTTAGGTTTAGTTTGTTCTTGTTTCCCTGGCTCCTTGAGACGTAAGATTAGCTTGTTAATCTGTGATCTTTCAGACTTTTTTTAACTTTTATTTTAAGTTCAGGGGTGCAAGTGCAGGTTTGTTACATAAGTAAACTTGTGTCATGGGGGTTTGTTGTACAGATTATTTCATCAACCAGGAATTAAGCCTGGTACCCATTCGTTGTTTCTCTTGATCCTCTCCCTTCTCCCACCCTCCATTCTCCAAAAGGTCCCAGTGGGTGTTGTTCCCTCCAACATGTCCATGTATTCTCACCATTTAGCTCCCACTTAAAAGGGGGAACATGCAGTAGTTTTCTGTTCTTGTGTTACTTTGCTAAGGAGAACAGCCTCCCTCTCTATCCACATCCCTGCAAAGGGCATGATCTCATTCCCTTTTGGCTGCATGATATTCCATGGTGTATATGTGCCACATTTTCTTTATCCAGTCTATCACTGATGGGCATTTGAATTGACTCCATATCTTTGCTATTGTGAAAAATGCTGCAGTGAACATACACATGCATATTTGTTTGTAATAGAATGATTTATATTCCTTTGGGTATACACTCAGTAATGGGATTGCTGGGTCAAATGGTATTTCTGGTTCTAGGTCCTTGAGGAATTGCCACACTGTCTTCCACAATGGTTGAACTAATTTACATTCCCACCAACAGTGTAAAAGTGTTCCTATTTCTCCACAGCCTCACCAGCACCTGTTGTTGCTTGACTTTTTAATAATCGCCATTCTGACTGGCATGAGATGGTATCTCATTGTGGCTTTGATTTGCATTTCTCTAATGATCACATGATTGTTGGCTGCATGTATGTCTTCTTTTGGAAAGTGTCTGTCCATGTCCTTTGCCTACTTTTTAATTTTTTTTTGTAAGTTTAAGTTCCTTATAGATGATGGATGCTAGATCTTTGTTGGATGCATAGTTTGCCAGAATTTTCTCCCATTCTGTAGGTTGTCTGTTTACTTCTGTTAATAGTTTCTTTTGTTGTGCAGAGCTCTTTAGTTTAATTAGATCCCATTTGTCAATTTTTGCTTTTGTTGTGATTGCTTTTGGTGTCTCCATCATGAAAACTTTGCCCATTCCTATGTCCTGAATAATATTGCCTGGGTTGTCTTCCAGGGTTTTTATAGTTTTGGGTTTTACATTTAAGTCTCTAATACATCTTAAATTAACTTTTATATATGGTGCAAAGAATGGAGTCATTTCAATCTTCTGCATATAGCTAACCAGTTATCCCTGCAACATTTATTAAACAGGGAGCCTTTCCCCATTGTCTGTCAGGTTTGTCAAAGATCAGATAGCTGTAGGTCTATGGTCTTATTTCTGGGGTCTCTATTCTGTTCTGTTGGTCTATATGTCCATTCTTGTACCAGTACCCTGCTGTTTTGGTTACTGTAAACTTGTAGTATAGTTTGAAGTCAGGTAGTGTGATGCCTCCAGCTCTGTTCTTTTTGTTTACAATTGCCTTGTCTATTCAGGCCCTTTTTTGGTTTCATACAGACTTCTAGTTTTCTCTAGTTCAGTGTATGGCCATTTTAATGATATTGATTCTTCCTATCCATGAGCATGGAATGTTTGTCCATTTGTTTGTGTCATCTTTGATTTGGAGACAGAGTCTCACTCTGTTGCCTAGGCCGGAGAGCAGTGGCACCATCTCCTGGCTCATTGCAACTTCTGCCTCCTGGTTCCAAGCAATTCTCCTGCCTCAGCCTCCCAAGTAGCTGGGATTATAGGCGTGCACCACCACCCCTGACAAATTTTTGAACTTTTAGCAGAGATGGGGTTTCGCCATGTTGGCCAGGCTGGTCTCAAACTCCTGACCTCAGATAATCTGCCTGCCTTGGCCTCCCAAAGTGCTGGGATTACAGGCATGAGCCACCATGCCCAGACCATCTCTGATATCTTTGAGCAGTGGTGTGTAGTTCTCCTTGTAGAGATCTTTCACTTCCCTAGTTAGCTGTATTCCCAGGCATTTTAATCTTTTTGTGGCAGTTGTGAATAGGAGTTTGTTTCTGATTTTGCTCTTGGCTTGACTGTCATTCGTATATAGAAATGCATAAATTTTGCACAATGATTTTGTATCCTGAGACTTTGCTGAAGATGCTTATCAGTGTAAGAAGCTTTTGGGCTGAACCTATGGGGTTTTCTAGATATAGGACCATGTCATCTGCAAATAAGGATAGTTAGACTTCTTTTCTTCCTATTTGAACGCCCTTTATTTCTTTCTCTTGTCTTATTTTCCTGGCCAGAACTTCCAACACTATTTTGAATAGGAGTGTTAAGAGAGGGTATCCCTATCTTGTGCTGGTTTTCAAGAAGAATGCTTCCAGCTTTTGCCCATTTAGTATAATGTCAGCTGTGGATTTGTCATAGATGGCTCTTATTATTTTGAGGTATGTTCCCTTAATACCTAACTTATGGAGAGTCTTTAATATGAATGGATGTTGAAATTATCAAAAGCCTTTTCTGCATTTATTGAGATAATATGGTTTTTGTCTTTAGTTCTGTTTATGTGATGAATCACATTTATTGATTTGAGTATGATGAACCAAACCTTGCATCCTGGGGATGAAGCCTAGTTGATTGTGGTGGTTAAGCTTTTTGATGTGCTGCTGCTGAATTCAGTTTGCCAGTATTTTGTTCAGAATTTTTGCATCAAAAGTTATCAAGGATATTGGCCTTTATTTGTTGCACCTCTGCAAGGTTTTGGTATCAGGATAATTCTGGCCTCATAGAATGAGTTAGGGAGGAGTCCCTCCTCCTCAATTTTTACGAATAATTTCAGTAGAAATGGTACCAGTTCTTTTTCGTAGATCTGGTAGAATCTAGTTGTGTGGTTGTTAATTTCTCTGGTACTGCGCTTTTTTTTCTTTTTTTTTTTTTTTTGGTTGGTAGGCTATTTATTAGTGCCTCAATTTCAGAACTCATTATTGGCTTTCACACTTTTTTATGTAGGCATTTAGTGCTATAAACTTTCCTCTTAGCATTGCTTTGGTTGTATCCCAAAGGTTTTGATAACTTGTGTCATGATTATCATTCTTTGTAAAGAATTTTTTAATTTCCATCTTGATTTCATTGTGAATCCAAAAATCATTCAGGAGCAGATTATTTAATTTCCATGTATTTGTATAGTTTTAAGGGTTCCTTGTGGAACTGATTTCTAGTTTTGTACCACTGTGTTCTGAGAAGATAGTTGATATAATTTTAATTCTTTTAAACTTACTGAGACTTGTTTTGGGGCCTATCATATGCTCTATCTTGGGTAATGTTTCATGTGCTGAGGAGAAGAATGTATATTCTGCAGTTCTTGGGTAAAATGTTGATTAAAAATCTGTTATGTTGACTCGTTCCAGATTGCAGTTTAAGTCCATTGTTTCTTTGCTGTTGACTTTCCATCTCAATGGTCTGTCTGGTGCTGTCAGTAGAGTGTTAAAGTCCTCTACTACTATTGTGTTGCTATTTATCTTATTTCCTGGGTCTAGTAGTAATTGTTTAATGAATCTTGGAGCTCCAGTGTTAGGTACGCATAATTAGGATAATACCTTCATGTTAGATTGATCGTTTTATCATTATATTATGACCAAATCCTTGTCTTTTTTTTACTATTGTTGCCTTAAACTCTGTTTTATCTGATATAAGAATAGCTACTTCTGCTCACTTTTGGTTTTTGTTTGTAATAGACATTAGCATTACTTGTGAAAAATGGTACATGACTGATGAGCAAAAGCAATTTTCATGGAATGAATTTGCACCTGTTTTACACTATTATCTTAATATATAAGGTGGCTTCAATTTCAGGGTCAAAATCTCACCACTTTTTTGGAAAAATACCCACAAGCAAGGCTTTGGATGAGGTGAAAAGATGCTTTCCATATCTTCATTTGACAGGAAATTTTTCAGCTGCCTTTTTTTGAAGTCAAGTGTGAAAGCAGCAAGTCCTGTTTTAAATCCCATATGCCCCAACTCACCATTCACCAACTTAATCCTTCTACTACTCTTTCCAAAATCCAGATCCCAGTCAAGATCAGCTGTCTTAATCAAGTGTGAAAAACATTTCAATCTACACTCATCTTTCTTCTCTCAATGTCTAGAGGACTTACTTCTAAGGTTAATTTTGTTTTTAGTAAAATAAGATAAACACTTAAAAGTTTTAAGTGAAAGCACATTAGTACTCTTTAAAGATTGAATGTCCTTGGAGGCAAAAACACTATTTAAACATTTTACTTTTGTACTTTGAGCTAGACACAATGGATGCATTCCAAAAACATGCTGACATGGTCTTCCTCATCTGAGAGGCCCACAGAGCACTGCCTCAGTGATGAGTTTACATAATTCTTAATATTTTTCCAACATTCATTACTTCCTAAAAATAAATACCAAAAGGATGAGTACTGCATTAAAGCAAAATGCATTTGTTTCACAAATAGACAAGTTCATACTACATATCTAATTGTTTTCCTTCATTCTAACCAAATAAAAATTCCAAGCATCTTAGACTCACATACCTGGATCTGAGAAAACAACATATTTTCCAATTTTCCTTCGAATTGCTGAAATATTTCCAAAATATGTAAGAAAATGCAAAAACAACAGTTAGAAAAACATATGTACCAAGAAAATGTTATTTTGGGAAAACTATCAGGCATCACAAATATCTTTTGGGTTTTCATTTGCTCATGGGTCATGCATGACTAATAACCTGTCAAACTGTCCTGAGAAAAATGTTGGGGATAATAGTGATGCAGAGGTAGCAATATTCCCCAGTATGCAGGTGGTGCTGGCCAAGGGGATAGATCTGCACAATGCACATGAAAAGAAAATATGAGATATGCGTAAAACGTGTTTACGTTAAAAAGCCAATTGGCTTTTTAACAAGAAGCAGCAATTAGTACATCTTCAAGGCAAGAGTGAAGGAAGGAATAAAATGCTATTTTTTGAGTTTCTTAGCTTATTATCAAGGGCTTCCCAATCCAAAGAGAGGAGGACGTATTATCTAAATTAATAAAGTAATTTACATTTTGGGGAATAGAATCAAAATCCCCATCATGCTATGCCTTGTAAATAAATTCCTGTGTGCTCATAAACCTTTTCACTTTTTTCTTGTTAGAGACAGAGTCTCGCTCTGTCACCCAGCTTAGAGTGCAGTGGCACAATCTTAGCTCACTGTAACCTCAAATTCCTGGACTCAAGCAATCCTCTCGCCTCAACTTCCAGAGTAGCTGGGACTACAGCCACATGCCACCACATCTGGCTAAGGCTAGCCTCAAACTTCTGGCCTCAAGAAATCCTCCCACCCCAACCTCCAAAGTGCTGGGATTATAGGCATGAGCCACCTAGCCTGGCCCACATTATTTTTTTAATCTGACAGTTTGAATTTACATGAAAAACACTATTCATGTTTTTATGTGATGAAGGATCCTCAAAATAATGTTCTCCCCCTGAGAACATATACAGAGACTTCAAATATCACCCAGAAAAACTGAGCCAATGAGAAGAATGAAATGATTAGCTGGTATTATGGGTTATTTGGGTTTTTTCCTGATTTTTCTGGCAAAGATTTGTAGTTTTTTCATCTTCTTTATAGTCTTTGTTATATGGGTTCTCCAGTAGGCCTTTAGTAGTTTCAATTATTTGTGTTATTTATGCTTAAAGCATAGCTTAATAAAAATGGCCTACAGTTTTAAGTAACTCTGAAATTAAACTGAGCCAAACAATCATCTTTTCCATAAAATTGTTCTACCTAAGATCAGTGAAGACCCCCAGTTATCAAATAAAAGGGCTTTCAATCACAGTCATGTTGATGGTACTAACAGTCAAAATGGTTTTCTTTCTAAGCTTCTATAGCAACGTTCTCTGCCAATTCTCTAACAGCTTCTGCTCTGGCCTCCTTCCAATTATCTTCAGAGGTTCCTCTTATTCTACCTGTCCCTTATGTTATTGTCTACTCCATTTCAAATGGAGATAGAACTTTTAAAAAACTTTATGTGTAGGAAAAAATGCTAGAAGAATCCATACAAAAGCATTTTAATAATGGTTATGTTTAGATATATAAGTAATTTTTTCTATCTTTTTCTATCTCAAATTTTCTTTACTGAAAAAATAAAATAACTATGATGAAAAAAGTTTTAAGAAAGAAAACGCATGGAATTTCCCAAAGTTCTATGCTTAATGCTTTTCACATTTTACTAGTTTATATGCTCCTTGAGCACTCTTCTCCTCTGGTGTCAAATCTGCACCAATAAATTCTGAGTCTACACAGGTTGTCTCTCTCTTTCCAAAAAGTATGTTCAGAAGTTGAATGTCTTTGCAGCAACATGGAGGAGCCTGGAGGATGTATTAGTCAGGGTTCTCTAGAGGAACAGAACTAATAGGATAGATATATATATGAAGGGGAGTTTATTAAGGAGTATTAACTCACACAATCACAAGGTGAAGTCCCACAATAGGCCATCTGCAAGTTGAGGAACAAGGAAGTCAGTGGGAGATTAGTCTGAGTCCCAAAACCTCAAAGTAGGGAAGCCAACAGTGCAGCTTTCAGTCTGTGGCCGAAGGGCCAAGAGCCCCTGGCAAACCACTGGTGTAAGGCCAAAAGTCCAGAAGCTGAAGAACTTGGAGTTCGAGGGCAGGAAGCATCCAGCACAGGAGAAAAATGAAGGCCGGAAGACTCAGCAAGTCTGCACTTTCCAACTTCTTCTGCCTGCTTTATTCTATCGGCACTGGCAGCTGATTAGATGCTGCCCACCCACACTGAGGGTGGGTCTGCCTCTCCCAGTCCACTGACATGAATGTTAATCTCCTTTGGCAACACCCTCACAGACACACCCAGGAACAATACTTTGCATCCTTCAATCCAATCAAGCTGACACTCAATATTAACCATTACTGAGAACACTATGTTAAGTGAAATAAGCCAGGCACAGAAAGAAAAATACCAAATGTTCTCACTCATATGTGGAAGCTAAAAAATTTTTATCTCAGAAATAGAGAGTAGAATAATGCTTGGTAGAGACTGGGAAAGGAGGCGAGGGGAAAGGAATTGGTTAATGGATGCAAAAGTACAGCTAGATAAAAAGAGTAAGTTATTTAACAGTGTATAACAGTGTTCTATAAGATTGTAGAGTGACTGTAATTAACAACTTACTGTGTATTTTCAAATAGTTAGAAGAGAGGATTTTTAATGTTTCCAATACAAAGAAATAGTAAATATTTGAGGTGATGGGTATGCTACTTACCATATTTGATTATTACTTATGGTATACATGTATTGAAGTATCATACCCACATAAATATGTACAATTATTATGCATCAATTAAAAATAATAAAAGCAAAGAATAAAATTGAATGTCTAAAAGGTAAATAAAAGACACATATGTTAAGAAAAGTTTACACTTCCAAGAAGCTAATATTCATTACCCAAACTCTATATACGATACTTTTCAGATTTGCAATTTATCCTAAGAACTAAGGAAATCGGGGGGGGCATCTCCCCTCCTCCTACGTGGGTCTATTCATAGGTCATAGGGGCCATATCAGAATAGCTCCATTTTAATGTCCATGGGCACCTAAAAGATTCCAAAATGAATTCACAACCAAAGAAGAAGAGGAAGAAGGAGAAAGGAGGAAGAAGGATGAAAGAGGAGGGAGGAAGAAGGATGATGGAGGAGGGAGGAGAAGGAGAAAAAGAAGTAGCAGGAGGAGGAAGAAGAGAGGAAGGAAGGAAGGAAGGAAGGAAGGAAGGAAGGAAGGAAGGAAGGAAGGAAGGAAGGAAGGGAGTCCCCCATAGTTTTACTCTAGCTAAATAACATCTATTCTGGTGAATTATAGAAGGCAAGAGCTGAGAGAGAAGTAGAGAGTCTAGGATAACTCTCAGATCCCAAATTTATGCAGCATGCTGTCAATTCTACTTCCTAAACATGTCCATCCTCCCCTCCATCCTCATTGATTTACCTAGGTTCAGACATTCATCATTTCCTAATTGGACTGCTGAACTTGGCAGTTCAAATTTTTAGTTTGTCGACTGACCTCCACACAATTCAAGCTCAGCATTGTTTTGGGTGATATATTCTATAATATAAATATGTTGAATGGTTGGAATTCAATAAATATTTGTTAAGTGCTTGAATAAATAATCAAAATTAGATAAATCACTACCTTTAAACTCAGAATGTGTATAACAAACCTGGAGAAATACAGACAGACAAACTAATCTGGTTTTTCCATCTACACCATTGTATGCTTATAACATTTTTCTTAATTTGTAAAATAATTCTGTTACACTAAAATATTTTATATTTACATTTCAAATTTTAAAAGTTTTATATTTTAGCTAAGCTTTTTAACAAATTGGCACTTGGGAAAATAACACTATATGTCATGTCATACTAATATATTTAGTTGTTGTGGTTTAATGAGGAAAAAATATTGGCAGACTTAATACGTAATCTAGGAATTGGCACCAAGTCATGACTACATCATGTTACAGGGTATGAAAAAAAGTTCCATTGTGACTTATTTTAAGAAAAGAGTTGGAAGAATTGAGTTTCCATGTGGTTCCTGGTAGCAAAGATTTCTGAACACAAAGGTACCAGCACCATAGCACTCAGTGCCATAATCACTTTGAGGAGCTGCTTATATAAATCCTGTCTTGTTCAAAACAACTTACAATTAACTATTCAAGGGAAAGTGTACCCTAAAGGGTTAAGAAAAGAAAATATTAAATTTTCTTTTATGTTTGGGGTGTTTTGTTTGCTATGTAATATTAAATTGATTGACCCAACAAAATAATGGAGCAGTAGCCAAAACCTAGCTAAAAAAAATGATAACAATGATGACACTGATAATGATGGTGACTCTAAGGATGGTCAATCGAGGTAAAAATAAAAAGAATAAATTAACAAATAAACAAATATATTGATAGATTAATAATAGAAAGATATACCTGCTGATATTTAACTCAAACTAGCAATTCAGTTTCACCCACCACCACCTATTGCTTCAAATTCCTATGATGAATTCGACTTTTATAAGGCTTGTAGTTTTGTTTTTTATTTAGTTTATAAGTTTGTCTTCATTTGACAGTAATAAAAGAGGTCAGGCATGAAGGGATTATAACTAGTTTCACATCTGTACATATTTAAGAAATATCATAATATTCTTTTTTTATTACTATACTTTAAGTTCTAGGGTACATGTGCACAACGTGCAGGTTTGTTACATATGTATACTTTAAATCATCACTGGAAATCCATGAAATATATTTCCCTGTAAATGGTATTTCAGTAATGAGACAGAGTTTTACTCTTGTTGCCCAGGCTGGAGTCCAGTGGCGCCATCTCAGGTCACTGCAACCTCTGCCTCCGGGGTTCAAGCGTTTCTCCTGCCTCAGCCTCCCAAGTAGCTGGGATTACAAGCACATGCCATCAAGCCCAGCTAGTTTTTGTATATTTAGTAGAGACAGGGTTTCACCATGTTGGCCAGGATGGTCTGGAACTCTTGACCTCGTGATCTGCCTGCCTCGGCCTCCCAAAGTGCTGAGATTACAGGCATGAGCCACTGCACCCGGCTGAAACATTGATTTTTAGGTAGGAGAAAGTCGAAGTATTTGGCATGGTATAAATGATTACAAAATCTACTTCTACCTATCCCTCCAACTTCACTTCTGCCACTTACTTCTCTAACCTAGACCACTACGCAACACTACTTGCAGTCTCTGAGCATGTTGATTGTCTCGTTATTCCCATCTTTAACAACAGAACCTTAGGAAACCTCCTAAACTTCCAAAATTACTTAGTGCTCTTCCATCCCTTCACCCTCTTTCACACATACGGTGTGAAACTCCCAGCTAAAAAGTCCCTCACTCATTCACAGTCCTTGCCCTCCAAGAGCAAATTCTCTTCCAGGGAGAAGCCAGTTCAAATGAGTAAGGAAGAGCATTCTAGATCTAGGAAGCATGATTTTGTGATGAATGATTTTGACCAAAGACTAAAAGAAAGGACCAAAAGAGGGATGAGAAAAGCAATGAGGGGGAGAGGAGACAGATCTACAAGATCTGCTGATGGATCACATGTTCATGGTGAAAGCCTGGAAGGAGTTTGAAAGAGTGAGTGAGCAGCAACATTTTTAATTCAGAAGGAAAAGAATGGAAAAACATGAGTTCCCTTTTGCCCCCACCCTCACCACCTGAGTTTAATTTCTCTTCCTTCAAGTTCTTATCCTCATATACAGCACCTTATATTTACTACTTTCAGAACACTTAAAACCTTGTCCTGTGGTTATTGACATAATATTCCACTCCACTCCCACTGTACTCTAGGTCCCTGAAGCGGAGGAACAGCCTTTTATTCTGTCTTGTGTCAGACTTTAGAGCTGTTCAAGCAGGAGTACAACCATGAGGAAAAGAGGCAGGGTAAGCACAGTGCAGTGGGAGGGACACAAAAGAAAAAAGTTTTGCAGTGATTACCACATCTTCTGTTTGCCTATTTGGTGACTATATCTACCAAGATTAGTTAGAATGATGTTTTAAAATACATTCTCATTAATGTTTTGACTAGCTCTGAAGATGCGGCTGGTTTTCTGGCAAGTTGAAAACCTAACCTGCTGACATTGTCATTTGCATTTCTGTGGTGGCTCCCATGAGTTTTTTTTTTTTTTTTTCCATCTGAAAGGTTTTTACCCCTACAGTTATCTAAAGATAACTAGTAATGATTTTTGAAAACTGAGGGATTAAAAAGGGTCTGCAGAGTTAGTGACAGAGCATTAGCTGTTCCTCGTAGTAACAGAGTTACAGAAAATATTTAGCAACAGAAGGTTTGTGGCTGAATCTATAACAGAGGATTATCTTTACAAAGGATCATACTCGCTAATTATTATTTTTACAATAAAAGTAAGGAAAGCAGTTATCAAACCTGACTATCATGGAAAGGTCATCTCCAATTCAGACCACACTGAGTGACCTTTGTATTAACAGCACATTAGTAAAGGAGGAGAAAAAGTCACGCTGGTGGGAGGACAGTCTCACTGTATGGCGTGTGGCCTTTAAAATGACTAACCCACTGGAGCCTGACACAGTCTGAATCAGTTAATCCACAAAGCAAAATATAGAACTTACATTTTAGGTCAAGCTGTTGCCCAAGCTTGTGAACCAGATACAGCTCAACTCCTCACACTTGCTTCTCTGAATAAAATGTAATGGAAGGGCCAAGGAATGGACATTCTGAGGTACAAAAATTGTAGGATAGACGCTCATGCGGTTAATGATTCTTGCCACATTTCAGACTGGAAGATAGCGCTCCGTCTTTGACCTTGGAGACAATCCTTAAATATGTGCTTGCATCATGTGCTAAACATGGTGAAGAATTACCAATTTGTAAATTTCCTGAATTGAGCCAACAGATGAAACTGTACAAACAGGCTAGAGCTTCCAGAGCTAAGATGACAAACTCTTTGAAAAACAAGGAGAAATGGAAAATAAGATGAATGACCATCAATGGACAGTTGGCAACTGCAGATGGAAAAATGAGAGGGCAACATTTACATGATGAGGCTAAGCTGCTCTCAAAAACTATTAGACTTTAAGATAAGGATTTCAAGTATATGGTAAGAATCACAATATCCTTGACACAGGGCTCATTGTCTAAATATTTTAATAGACTCTACCACATCTAGCCTACTTATGGTCTATATTCATTGATTTTTCTTTCTTTTTTTTTTTTTTTTTTGAGACGCATTCTCGCTCTGTTGCCAAGCTGGAGTGCAGTGGCACGATCTCAGCTCATTGCAACCTCCACCTCCTGGGTTCAAGCGATTCTTCTACCTCAGCCTCCTGAGTAGCTGGGACTACAGGCACATGCCACCACACCCGGCTAATTTTTGTATTTTTAGTTTCACCATGTTGGCCAGGATGGTCTCCATCTCTTGACCTAGTGATCCACCCACCTCTGCCTCCCAAAGTGCTGGGATTACAGGAGTGAGCCACCGCAACTGGCCGACATGTTCTTATTAACTTGATGGCACAGTTGGCTGCTAGGTTCCCAGGTCATCTTCTCAGTGATTGCAGTTCTTGCTGTTTCTTGGACTCCTTCATGTCTCACGCAGTCCTAAGTCCCTTCCTTGCTTCTTAATTAATTTATGTCCTTGGCTTCGCCTCTGCCTATGTGGCACACCCACATACCCATAAGGCATGTTCAGGCTGTGTTTTTTAATGTTCTGGCTTGTTCTACATTTGCTAAGGGGGCAAGGACAGCAGTAACCTGGTTGGCTCCATTTGGGCCTGGCCTATTAATTGAATTTAAAACATTCAAATTCTTATTTAGTCCCTTTTCTCCTTATCTAGATTGTCATTTTCTTTATCCAGCCCAATTTGGTAATGTGTCAGTCTCATTTTAAGTCATTGGTAAGCTCCTAAAATAGCACACATGATTTGCCGTGTCATTTATCACATCTTACCTAGCAACAGGAAATATATTTTATATGGCACAAACCAGGCAATCAGCAATCTATTGTTTTTAAGGTCCTATTTATCTGTTTTAGAGAAAATTATCATCATTTTCTATTCAGAAGGTTTGGATGCTTCCGAGTACCTGAGGCTCAATACTGCAAGTACTTTTACCAGATGTTAAAAAAAGTTGCCATTCATATTTTATTCTGAGTTTGTGGTCTTTATTCAGAATCACACAGGTGTGACTTTTATGAGAATCACACAGGTGTTCAGTGACACTGGTTCCACATCTTTTCCTGGATTGTCAACTTCTCCCTTTTCGATGGATATTTTCTCTGAACATATAGAATGCTCAAGAGTTTGATATTTTAAAACACCTACATCACACACACACACACACACACACATACACACACATCTCCCTTAACTTGATTTCCAAATCTGTCTATTTCTATGGCTCTATTTAGTTTCACAACAAAACGCTTGGTATAGTTGTCTAAGCGCATTGATTTCCGTAACTCTCCTCCCATTTATACTTCTATCCACTCTAATCTGACTTTTGCCCCACGATCACTACTTACATCCTAGTTTCCAAATTCTAAAAATACTTTTTTGTACTTACCTTACTTGAACTTTCATCTTAGCAATCCATCAATAAATTGTGTGAACCAAAATCTTCAACTTGGTTTCTAAGGAGCCCAAGCTCTCAGTGTGAGGAAAGAGGGGCTGAGCCCAATGGCTGACGCCTGTAATCCCTGCACTTTGGGAGGCCAAGACTGGCAGATCACCTGAGATCAGGAGATCAAGACCAGCCTGGACAACATGGCAAAACCCCGTCTCTACTAAAAATACCAAAAATTAGCCAGGCATGGTGGTGCAGGCCTGTAGTTCCAGCTTCTCAGGAGGCTGAGGCAGGACAATCGCTTAAACCCAGGAGGCAGAGGTTGCAGTGAGCCAAGATTGTGCCAGTGCACTCCAGCCTGGGCGACAAGAGTGAAACTCCATCTCAAAAAAAAAAAAAAAATAGTGTGAGGAAAGAGGAAGAGGCAAAGCAACGATGTGGTTTCAGGTGAAGACTAGCCTCCATGAGATTCCACAGGAAGCTCTGGAACATAAATTGTACTGCAGAGCCTATTTCACCCTAAAGCAAAGGATCAGAGCTTTTGTACCCACTCCCCAGTCTGACTTTGAACTACCAGGCACAACTGGTAAGACCCTCTAATTGCCCAAGGGCAAGCCTCCAAATTGAAAGAGAACCCAAAAAATCTTGCGAGGGAACTAACAGCATCTGCTACAGCTTTCTTTCCACTTGACACTTTAACTACTGTATCTTTCTTGACTTACTCCTTTTTAGCTTCTCCAATATTCTTGGTTTATTTCCTGTTCTTCAGCATCTTGGTTTTTCTTCGTATTCCTGCTCTTTAACCACTGTTATTCCTCCAGAGTTTTCCCATTCTGTACTCTTCTTAAATGATCTCACTAACATGCCTGGCTTCAAATACCACCATTTTGCCAAAGGCTCCTGTCTTAGGTCAAGTTCCAAGAAACAGCCTGAGATGAGGATCCTTGTTAAAATTGTTTATTGACAGAATGCTCTCAGGAGAAGGGAGGTAAAAGAAGCAAGATAAGGTGAAGAAAATAAGCAAGAATGTGGTCTTGTCTAGAGACTAGCTTCAGTTTGATACCATGGGAAAGCTCTGGAATGCAAAGTGCACCACAGATTTGGTCTCTCATATATGGTTTGGATGTTCGTCCCCTCCAAATCTCATGTTGAAATGTAATTCCCAGTGGGTGGAGGTGGGGCCTGGTGGGAGCTGATTGGATCATGGGGGAAGATCCCTCATGAATGGTTTTAACACCATCCCCTTGGTGACAAGTGAGCTCTCACTCCGTTAGTTCACTCATGATCTCTTGCTCCTGTCCTCCCTATGTGACATGCTGGCTCGCCTTCATCTTCTGCCATGAGTGTAAGCTTCCTGAGGCCCTCATCAGAAGCAGATGCTGGCACCATGCTTCCTGTACAGCCTGCAGAACCATGAGCCAAATTAAACCTCTTTCCTTAATAAATTACCCAGTCTCAGGTATTTCTTAACAGCAACACAAGGACAGACTAACCACAGTCTCATTTTAAGGAAAGAAGGCTGCACCCCTTTGTACCCTCGTGTTAGTCACTGGTTTTAGTCTGCCTGGGGAAGTAGGGGCTTGGGGGGACACTAAATAAAATCACCTAAGTAAGTCAGATCCTGGCAGCTAATCTTCTCTGTTTGACAATCTCCTCCATTTGACAGCTGTTTCTTTAGCAACATTCAAAGCAGCTGCTGGAAGATAGGTATACCAAAATAATAAAGATGGTCTGAGCACCAAGACATCCACTGCATCCATTTGCCCTTGCATTGCTCAGATCTATTTGCTTTTCACATTAAGTTTATTCTATCAAAATACAACTCCTCCAAGATTGTGATTAGTCACAATTTCTGGGAAAACTTTCAAGAGGAAGTTCAGTGGCATGAACTACAGCCCCAGCTGCTGCAATTTGTCTGAAGGCCATAACTGATACATATCCCCTCCCTCTTCCCATTCTAGATTTCCCTTCACTTTGTCTAGCACTTCTACTGATCTGTGTACTCCCTGAGGGGTTAACCTAGAATCTCATCTCTGTGGGGTCTCGGGCCTGGTTACTCTGCACTCATCTGTCCATGGTTGCCCTACTGGCCCATTAACAGACACAACAAGGCATGGGAGTACTTTGACACCTCAGTGGATGACCTGAGTAACAAATCTATTCCTTCCTATTATGTAGCTTCAATCCTTCCCCTCTTTTCATGATTATAAAGGTCAGTTACTGCTACGGGTATGGTATCTCCCTTCTTGGCTTGCTAGACTACTGGCACATGGAAACAAAAAGGAATAGGCAGAAACCATAGCTTTGCATTTAGTGAGACTCTTAACAAATGCTCCCTCATGAAAGCGTACCTTCTCTGCAAACCATAACTTCTAGACCTATAAAGCCTAACATTCAAGAGTTAGGAAACACAAATTCCTCACTTACCAGGATCACTGATGAGCAGGATTACTTCTACTTCTACCCTTCGTTTCTGAAATGCTTATATTTTACCTATAAGAGACACACAGCACCATATTATGGCTATTGGTTTAAAGCAAACACCACATTCTGAAGGATAACCCACCTCTTCTTGCAAAGTGCCAGGCCTTTACATCCCCTTCATTAGCTAATCATTGGCAAAATGCTGTTTCCTGAGAAGGAGTAAAACCTTGGATAATATAGTTCCTTGAAGCCAGTAGCAGCCAGTATTCCCAGAAGCTGGGGTGTGAGTAAGTCACTCCTGAAGAAGAGGGCATCTGGGTGTAGCACAATAGTATCTATAACACTTTCTTATGTTGCCTGTCGTGGTAAAATATTGCTACATGGCCCTCAGCTATTCCAGGACCCCATGATCCTCAGTGCTACTGGGAGGGAGTTGTGAAGAACATCTCCAAGCCCTGAGTGATGCTGGTGGCTCCCTCATCAGTATATTCCTTATTGCAATGTTAAATGGAGTATTCTGAGGAACATAGTAAGCTAGTGACTTTTCTCTTCTTATATAACAAACCCACTCTAGTATTCCTGTTAGGCAGATAGCTAGACATGAGCAGGAGGAGGAGCCCCTAGTGGAGAGAAAGGTCTGAAAAATCTCACACCTGGCTGAATTCTTTCTCCCAGTAAAGACAAAAAACTGAGTATTCCTCAGTTCCCAGTAACATTCTCACTTGTCTTCTTTGTTTAAAATGTAAGTTTCCACACCTATTCTTTGTTTAGTGAGAAATATTTTTCCTCTAAGCTTTCAAATAGAAATGACAGAACCATAGAAGCCCCATCTCCAGTGACTACAGAGTGTCACAGGAAGATGGCTTCATGTTGACAAATTCTTCCTAATCCAGCTATATATCCTAGCCACCTTGATCAAGCACCCTCAAGATTCCCTCTCAGTCACACTCTCATATTCCTGGCAGTATGTGTAAGCCAGGTTCAGCTCCCCCTTTCACATATACCATTTTTCTTCCCTTAGCAATCCAATACTTTCTCTCTTGGACTATGCAAATATTTGACTCCAAACCCTTGCACACTGTTGGCAGGAATGTAAATTAGTACAGCCACTATGGAGAACAATATGGAGGTTCCTTAAAAAACTAAAACTAGAATTACCATATGATCCAACAATCCCACTACTGGATACATATCCAAAAGAATGGAAATCAGTATGTCAAGGAGATACCTGCACCCCTATGTTTATTGCAGCACTATTCACAAAATAAGGAATCAAGAGAAATAAGGAATGAGCACAAACATCCATCCATGGATTAACAAATAAAGAAATATGGTACATACACACAATGGAATATTTTTCAGCCATAAAACAAGAATAAATTCCTGTCTTTTGCAGCAACATGAATGGAACTGAAGGACATTATGTTAATTGAAATAAGCCAAGAACAGAAAGTAAATTTCACACGGACTTACTCATCTGTGAAAGCTAAAAAAGTGGATCTTATGAGGACAGAGAGTAGAATGGTGGATACCAGAGGCTGGGAAAGGAAGAGGGGAGAGGTTGATGAAGGGAACAAAAGAGAATGTACATGTATTTATTACCACTGAACTGTATGCTTAAAAATTATAAAGATGGTAAATTATAGATATATATTTTACCTCAGCAAAAATAAATAATTTTTTGAAATTGCCCCCAATTATGGAATAATGGCCAGGAGGAGAGACGGAGATGGATCCTGATAAGCGAAAAAGTTATCTTAAAAGGGTGGGACTGTAAACTAGTTCAACCATTGTGGAAGTCAGTGTGGCAATTCCTCAGGGATCTAGAACTAGAAATACCATTTGACCCAGCCATCCCATTGCTGGGTATATACCCAAAGGACTATAAATCATGCTGCTATAAAGACACATGCACACGTATGTTTACTGCGGCACTATTCACAATAGCAAAGACTTGGAACCAACCCAAATGTCCAACAATGATAGACTGGATTAAGAAAATGTGGCACATATACACCATGGAATACTATGCAGCCATAAAAAATGATGAGTTCATGTCCTTTGTAAGGACATGGATGAAATTGGAAATCATCATTCTCAGTAAACTATCACAAGAACAAAAAACCAAACACCGCATATTCTCACTCATAGGTGGGAACTGAACAATGAGATCACATGGACACAGGAAGGGGAACATCACACTCTGGGGACTGTTGTGGGGTGGGGGGAGGGGGGAGGGATAGCATTGGGAGATATACCTAATGCTAGATGACGAGTTGGTGGGTGCAGCGCACCAGCATGGCACGTGTATACATATGTAACTAATCTGCACAATGTGCACATGTACCCTAAAACTTAGAGTATAATAATAAAAGAAAAAAAAAGGCACTGCCTGTTTTGAGCTCTTTGCATAGTTTTCAACAAAAGAAAGGGAGCCCTCTGTCTTCTAATACTGGGTAGTACTCCTTTTCTATAGACCCAGAAGGTTCAGAGGAGTCTGAAGTCTCAACATTCTATCAAAATGTAAAGTGCATCTATACAAACAAACTCATTCCAAGTTTTACGATCCCACTCCTTCCCTAGCTGAGCTAACCTTGGTATAGAATACTTGCCTTGGCTGAAAATTCAACCTTTTATGAAGTTCTACCACTCTGTGCCTTATCTTCATCTGTATCTGTCCTCCAACTGCATGAGATAAGAATCTCGTTCAATGCTGTTTTCGAAGACCTTGGACTCTCACACTTTGCTTTAATAGTTATGAAACAATCATTTCCTTTTTTCAATGAATCACTGGTGCTTAATAAACAGCCCCATGTCCATAGTCCTTATAGCTACTATTTATCTCATGCTTCTCAAATGCTGGGATTGCACTGTAAGTGGCTTCTTCTTCCACATCTATCCTATCCCAGAAAATCATGGATAAAAGTCTTGGCAGTAGCACTACTAATACATGCTAGGGAATATCAATAGTCTAGTTGCCACCAGTGAAGTATCTGCATTGCCACCTAGCTAGTAACTGGTCCAGAATTCCATCCTTTTAACATCCTTCCTAGCCCAATGTAAGGAACTTTAAATTATTTACTGGCACACAGGCTGGAAAACTGGCAATATTTATAGGTTCAATGCTTTTAACCGGGCTTATTTATTCTGACTGTCTAGGTGTTACCCTTTGAGGCTTTACAAATTGGCCAAAGTGTGTGTGTATTCTCTGGTTTTGCTTTCAGAAAGGCTCAATATTCTAACATTATGTTATAAAATCGAATTGACAGGAATGCATATAAAAAAATAGACATAAAGACTGAAAAGCAATGCATTACAGAAAATAAGGTAATTATTTTCAAGTCTATGTTATACCAACATCACTCATAACCCTAGTCAAAAACAGTCACCTCGAAATAATTGGTACACCAAACCTCTGTGACATGCAATTTACCTACATAACAAACCTGTGCAGGTACCTCCTGAACTCAAAAGTTGGAAAGAAAAAAAAAATAAAAAGTGCTAATAAAATGTGATAAAAAAACTAAAATGTTAATTAAAAGCTGGGTGGATATAAAATGCATATCATTCCATTTTATTCAGAAAAATTAATTGATGGATTAAAGACTTAAACATAAGACCTAAAACCATAAAACCATAAAACCATAAAAACCCTAGAAGAAAACCTAGGCAATTCCATTCAGGACATAGGCATGGGCAAAGACTTCATGATGAAAACACCAAAAGCAATGGCAACGAAAGCCAAAATTGACAAATGGGATCTAACTAAACTAAAGATCTTCTGCTCAGCAAAAGAAACTATCATCAAAGTGAACAGGCAAACTACAGAATGGGAGAAAAATTTTGCAATCTACTCATCTGACAAAGGGCTAATATCCAGAATCTACAATGAACTTCCAGAATGGGAGAAAAATTTTGCAATCTACTCATCTGACAAAGGGCTAATATCCAGAATCTACAATGAACTTAAACAAATTTACAAGAAAAAAACCCCATCAAAAAGTGGGCAAAGGATATGAACAGACACTTTTCAAAAGAAGACATTTATGCAGGCAACAAACATGAAAAAAAGCTCATCATCACTGGTCATTAGAGAAATGCAAATCAAAACCACAATGAGATACCATCTTACACCAGTTAGAATGGGGATCATTAAAAAGTCAGGAAACAATAGATGCTGGAGAGGATGTGGAGAAATAGAACGCTTTTACACTGTTGGTGGGAGTACAAATTAGTTCAACCATTGTGGAAAGGGGATGGCAATTCCTCAAGGATCTAGAACCAGAAATACCATTTGACCGAGCAATCCCGTTACTGGGTATATACCCAAAGGATTATAAATCATGCTACTATAAAGACACATGCACACCTATGTTTATTTTGACACTGTTCACAATAGCAAAGACATGGAACCAACCCAAATACCCATTAATGATAGACTGGATAAAGAAAATGTGGCACATACACACCATGGAATACTACGCAGCCATAAAAAGGGATGAGTTCATGTCCTTTGCAGGGACATGGATGAAGCTGGAAACCATCATTCTCAGCAAACTAACACAGGAACAGAAAACCAAATACCACATATTCTCACTCATAAGTGGGAGTTGAACAATGAGAACACATGGACAGGGAGGGGAACATCACACACCGGGGCCTGTCAGGGGTAGGGGGGCTAGGGGAGGGATAGCATTAGGAGAAATACCTAATGTAGATGATGGGTTGCTGGGTGCAGCAAACCACCATGGCATGTGTATACCTATGTAACAAACTTGCACATTCTGCACATGTACCCCAGA
This sequence comes from Homo sapiens, assembly GCF_000001405.40. Lineage (NCBI taxonomy): Eukaryota > Metazoa > Chordata > Mammalia > Primates > Hominidae > Homo > Homo sapiens. The sequence continues at coordinate 101,802,912 of NC_000011.10, forward strand.
ACTTAAAGTATAATAAAAAAGAAATATAAAGTGATGCAAATCCAAATATATATAAAACATATATATTTGAATATATATTTTTTATATTGGAATATATAAATATATAAAACATATATACTTAAAATATATACAAAATAAAGTAATTCAAACCCAAATATATATAAATATGTATATATTTAAATACATACATATTTATAGATTTGAATTTGAGTTACTTTATACATAACACATATTTTATATATATTATGTATATAGCATAAATATATTCTGTCACCTGTTATTTAGCATAATTTTGGAAAATTCACAAGTTATTTTCCAAATATATTTTTGTAAATTTTTTTATAAATAAATCAGTAAAGATTACAAAGAAATATATATTGTGGCATTATTGGTATGAAGCTGTTTAAGTCAAAATTATTGAACTCCTGGTTGTCAAAGTTTTGACAATATAAACAAGAATACATAGTTTATCAATGTATTATATGAATAAACATAATGTATAAATCAAAATAATACACAAATATTAATGTATTTATTAATCTCAAATCATAACTAGACTTTCTATTTTGGACAATCTAAACTACTATCATATTTAATAGCATTAAAACAGGTTAAGACACATCACATGCTTATTATGTAATTTATAACCTACATTACTTATTACTTAATCTCTCTATTCCTCCGTTTTCTCATCTGTAAAATGGTAACAATCATACTGCTTGATTCAGAGGGTCATGGCTAGGATTCACTGAGTAACGTAAGTGAACATGTTAGGGTAGTGGCAACCATATAGGAGCTACCCAATAAATATTAACTCTTAATATTTTGTTCTCTCTAAAAGTAAAGACAGTCAAAGATTTTTCAGGAAAGGGTTATGGGAATTCTTCTTCAACACTACTGTGTGTCTCATGGAGAAGCTATGAATCACCAATAACTGAAGTGACTGTCATAACTGACTCCTTAGGATAAATCAGTGTCTGATGTTTTTGCTCTTGTTCTTATGAAAAAAAAAAAAAAAGCCTGGGAAAAGATGCTTCCCAATCGTGTTTTTAGTATGATTTGAAAAACTCTGGAATACATTATTAAATCTGCCACAATCTTGCTATAATTCTAAGTAATTTTCTTTTCCTATTCTTACAGATAACCAGTTATGAACACCTTCTTATATGATTAGATTCACATTTTAGAAATTAAGAGGGCATTCGTGGTCATCTGCTTCAAGTTCTCATTCCAAGCAGAATTTACTCTACAGGGTAGAGTTTACATCTGACAGATTTGGCCTTGACTTATTAATAACACCTCCTCTCTGATAGACATTTGTTGTTTCCTGCAGAGCACACATCCTCCCTCTTTTTGGCAAGAGCGCTCACAATTTTCTTCTAGAGTCCTCCTCGACTTCATCTCACCCCGTGTGGCTCATAGGATGGACTCCTGTTCCAGGGGTTGCATAAATAGCCCAGGACTGGCTTGCCAGCATATCAAATCACCCAAGCCAAGTAACTAATTTGGGGATAGATATGCAGCACAAGTTACTCCAAGAAAACTGGGAAGTCCTCCTTTTCTACCAACTTATACCTGGGAGGATTATGGGTCTGCGCTACTGGTGGCTATTTTGCAGACTTCTTGGTAGTCTGTGGAGTATAAAGCAAATAAGGTGGAAAGAGTTTTGCCATTACTTTAATGGCAAAAACCACAATTGGTTTTATACCAACCTAATAATTTGAGCCTTTGAATTATATACTACAATTAGAGTTTTCTGTTGAGTAGGCAAATACATCTCCTTTTGTTATTATGGCTTTGTTTTTGTTTTGGCTTAAACCAATGAGTGTCAGGTTTTTCATCATTTGCAAATAAAAGTATGCTAACTGGTACACCGAATAGATGCGTTCATATGTGGCTCTCTTTATATTCTGCCGCCAGAAGCTCATTTTGAACTTGAAGCCAACTTTATCCTTTGTTACTAAATTAGCAGGATCTCTCTGTTATGTATATAACTATGTTTGGCATACAGAAAACACACAGTGATTGATATGTATGATAATCTACATTTCCAAGGTTATATGAGAGTTAAGATTAACAAATTAGACCACTGAATATCATTAATAAAAATGTCTCCTGCAAGGCTAACTGCACTTTTGTCTTTTTTCTTCAAACATCTGTAAAAATATTTAGCACATAGGTGTTCATTTGAATCAGAAACCTTTTAAATAAGCTATAAGCTGATTTTAAAGAATTAAAAATGTTAGTATTTAAATATAATTGTTCATATTCATTAAAATGGTATGTGAGCCAATATATAGTATGCAAATGAAGACAGTATCTGGCAGAGAATTAACCAAAATATTCTTAGATATAACTAAGTAGGAGTAATTTCACCATCATAGAAAATCTATTTTGTGCTTAGATGTGGGCACTATGCTAGGTCCTTTGCATATATTATTTTTTTTTCTTTTGAGATGGGGTCTCCCTCTGTCACCCAGGCTGGAGTACAGTGGTGCAATCTCAGCTCACTGCAGCCTCTGCCTCCCAAGCTCAAGTGATTCTCGTGTTTCAGCCTCCCGACTAGCTGGGACTACAGGCACCTGCCACCACACCCAGCATATATATATATATGGTTTCACCATGTTGCCCTGACTAGTCTCGAACTCCTGGCTGCAAATGATCTGCCTGCCTCGGCCTCCCAAAGTGTTGGGATTACAGGCGTGAGCCACCACACCCGGCCCATTATTTGATTCTTCTAACAACCTGTATCAGAGGTACCAATAATGATCTGAGTTTTAGTTTCTTCATCTGTAGAATGAGGATAAATTATTTCCCCCAAGATCACATAACCAATAAATGTTGAAACCCAACCAGGCTGATGTCAAAGCCTAGGCTCTTAATCTGACAATATCACCCATAAATTTATATGAAACACGGGCAACTATTCTGAATAGCAAAAATTTAAAAAGAAAACTTTTTAATTAACCTCAATTCTCTTATTTTGCCCAAACAGATTCCATTTCTCAGCATGACACTTAGTAGTCTATAGAATGCATTTCCATCCAACCTGTGAATATTTTCATGCCCTCTTCAATCTTTTGGCATCATTTCTAGTGCCATAATGAATACTAAATGACAGTATCTAAAAGTATAAGGGAGTCCACCATAGGTCAAAATATCATGTCAAGCAGCCGTGGGAAGAGAATGTTATTACTGAGTCACTCAACCTTTAAAAACTATCTTAGACTTCTTACTAAAGCACGGATATCTTTAATAAATTTTCCAGCAATGATAATTCTACTTCCTTCTAGTCTATATTCCTTTTAAGAAAAGTTAACCGTAAGATAAGCTAGCAAGTGATAAGTAATATAAGAGAGAAGAACAGTGCACAGATGTGGAGAATTAATCAAGGTAAACTAACATTGGGAATCAAGTCACAACTTTTTTATAGAAAAAGACATTTTATTTTTAAAAAATCAGTGACCGCCACTCTTTCCCCTGAATCTTGGATGGCTCACATTGGAGTGGTGGAGAGACCTCAGGATTTCCTCTGCAGGTGCTTCTGTCCATGTGCACCATTCATGGACCCAGGGACAGAGCCACCACCATTAGTAGTTCTCCATTGACACTAGCTTTTAGTGGCAGCATCTGCCAATGGCTATTCCTGAGGAAGTTTGTTTCTGATGGCCAGGAATTTTTATCCTTCTTGCTTATACCTAAATCCCTGTATCTAAACAGCATTTGGCACAGAGTGGGCATTCATTATTTTTTAATGAATTAAAGGATAGATCTTAGCTACTGCTGTGATTCCATTTGGTAGCAGTCACTAATGAAAACTGCCTTCAGCACTGCTTGCTTTAATCACTCTAAGTTTGAGGTATATCTTGCCTCTGAAACAGTTCTTAGATTTCCAGTTGCTGGATGGCTCAAGGATAATTTCTGAGCATTAGTTCTGTTAAGCAATTCAAGAAATGGTCCCTGCTGAGCCCTCTAGGTAAATCCTACACAGCACTTTCAAACAACAGTTCTCTTAAGGAATACGTCCAAATCTCTGTAGAATTGTAACTTACGCACGAATCCAACAACCATGACAAAGCCACACAGCTAACTGTGAGTTTCTTCTTCCTGTGTTCCAACCTTTGACTCTCTAAGAAAACCCTTTTGATAACTGGAGTTTATCAATAATTCAGTTCATCAAATACATATTGAGTAACTACCATGAGGCGGGCCCTCTTCCAGATACTTACATGTGGCTCATCAGTTTCTCTCAAGGGCTGCAAAGTCAGTTAAATGTGCAAATCACCAAAGGCTCCGGATTCCTCTTCACATATGGCTTGATTTCTTACATTTATACAGTGCTTTGTAGTTCACAAAACACCTATACATACATTACCTAACTTAGAGCTTTGCATCAGTTCTGTGAGGTGTACATAAATAATTTCCATTTCACAGAAGAAAAAAACTTAGAGAAAATGAGAATATTGCTTAAGGTCATACCAACTCGGACTCCTTGGTAGCCAGAAAACAGCAGAGCTGATTCTTTTACCCAAATCAGGAATATTTTTCACTAGATTCCCCTGTTCATTCTGGGGACTATAGATTTCTTTGCAGTTGTTATTAAAGTTAGGTATTTTTTTGATTTATGTATTCCATTTTTTTTAACCACGTAATCTATTCAAAATACTGGAAATATAGTATACAAAACACCATTTCTCAAAGTGGTGGGAATATTCTAGTGGGAAAAATAAGACACACATAGGTATCTATAAGCTGAAACAGGAAGTGACACATGCCATAAAAGAAATCCAAAAATAAAAATATGTGAGAGATCACTTCCAGCTGGGGAAAGAGCAAGTAAGACTTCCTGCAAACAAGACATTAGGAATATGTGACTAAACAAAACAAAACAAAACAAATTCCACTTAATGATCTTTGCAAAACAGCCCATTATTTTGGTAAATTGCAGGCTGAATAAACGATGGAAGAAAACTACAACCCATTTAAAGTTCATGACATTATTCTTCCAACAAAAAATTTGAACATGAAACACAAATGCATATATTCCCACGGTGGCAAATTGTGGATGCTAGCTTAATAGAGGATCTCTACGAACCCACCCCCAACTCACTTCCCATTGGAGGAAATTTAGAGCCTAAATTGACAGAAAATTATAAGTTTCCCAGTTTAGCAGACTGAAAACTCATCAGAGATAAACCTTAGTACTGGCAGAATCATTTTCCTCCTGGTTAAACTGCATGTGTTAAGTGGATTTCATATTTCGTCCATTTACTTGATTGTACATAACACAAAAAAGTGGCAGTCACGTACAATCCAAATTTGAATCAACTAGAAGCCCGTCCCTAGCACCAATGCAATTACTGCTAGCTTAGACACCCAGGTGGAAACTCATCAGCCAACATTGTCCTCTTATAGCTGAATGTGTTCACTGAAAATGTACTTGCATCAATAACTAGACTATCTTGTTTTTCATGTTAGTTTTGCCTCTAATTTTAAAATATTATACTGGAACCATGAAGAGACATGGTATTGTTTGAGAGAAGCAATGCTTGCCCCTAATAGTTTTGTTTGATTTGTTTTTAGTCACGTGTCTGTAAGGACAGTAATTTATTTTTCTTTCAATGTGGCATTAAGAGAGAAAGGAAAAATCATTTTTTCATAAGTTCTGAAACTTGGAAATTAAAAACCCCAAAAACACTGGAGTAGAGAGGTAGGAGCAATCATAGGCCTGAAATCAACAGCCCAGATTGAGAGGGCACAGGAAACTACACCACCACAGTTAAATGAGCCGTAAAACACAAAACCTCATTTTGTGGCCATAACAAAAGTTTGGGTCACTGAGATACTAAAGGAGATTGGAAATAAAGCAGTTCAGCTACATTCCATATTTATGCAGTGCTTCATAATTTTGCATTTTACAAATTTTTCATTCCATAGTTTTGATTGTTTTTCATATGTGCTTTTATAACTTGAAGCAGATATTCTCATTTTTTCAGTTGTAGAAACTAAAGCATAGAGGGGTATGTTTTGACAAAAGTCCTGCGACAAGGTGTGGGAGGAGACAGCACTTGAATCTTGGGCTTCTAGTCCTGAGCTCCAAGGCCTTTTCCGCACCCTATACATCTGCTGAGTAGTTTCGAAAACTTCCAAAGTGACAGTAGACCTGGCTTCTTGATGAAGGTAAGCAGCAGAATGGAGGGGTGAACTTCACTCAGCAGGAAGGGTCCTGAGTGAATTAGAGCATGCTTTGCACAAATGTGTTCTAATTATTTAAAACCTTTTTAAAAGATCAGTTAAAACTACTCAAAGAAATATATATAAATAATTTTTTTAAAGGTTGGGGCCAGGTGCAGTGGCTCATGCCTGTAATCCCAGCACTTTGGGAGGCCAAGGCGGGCAGACCACTTGAGGCCAGGAGTTCAAGACCAGCCCGGCCAATATGGCAAAACCCTGTCTCTATTGAAAATACAAAAATTAGCCAGGTGTGGTGGCAGCACACCTGTGATCGCAACTACTCAGGAGGCTGGGACAGAAGAATCGCTTGAGCCTAGGAGGCAGAGGTTGTAGTGAGCCAAGATTGTGCCACTGTGCTCCAGTCTAGGTGACAAAGCAAGATGCTGACTCAAAAATAATAATAAATAATAAATAAAAAATGTAAGAGGTTGGAAAATCTTGATATTTCAGAATGACAAATAGAAAGTTAAAGCTGGTGTAGGGATATTTGATGACCAAACTGAATAATAAGATTTACGTTATCAATAGCTAATAATAATTGAGGACTTCCCTATTTACCAGGCACTGTACTAAGTACCTTATGCACACTACACCATTAGATTCTCACCGTCTTATGAAGCAAGTATTATTGTGGTCCCCATCTTACAGATGAAGAAATGAAGAAACAGAGAGGTTCAGCTATTTGCCCAAAGTCACAAAGCTAAGAAGTAGCAGAGACACGATTTGAATACTGGAAGTCCAGAGTCCAGTCTAATGTCTTAACCACCATACTGCCCCTACTAGGTACTAGTTATTGAATCCAAACAATGTCCAGATGCTATGTCATATACATTGCATACCATTCATATTCTTCCTGGGAATCCTAGAATTAATAAAATCCTCATTTTTATATATTGTGTATGTGGGAAACCAAAGTTTAGACACTAAGTGGAAAATAAGAGATCCTGAGAGGGAGCCTCTTATGAGAGAGGAGGGGAATAGTGGCATGAAAAATGGCCTTCACATCAAGTAAAACAAGTTATGAAATATCCATTTCATGTAACAGTTCACTGGCAGCTTAGCAAGAGTCATTTCAGGTAAGCCATTTCAGGGAGGGGATAGAAATCAGACTGCAGTGGGTTGGTGAATGAATGTGAGTTGCGGTGAAGAGAGGTGAGAAAGTTTCAAATATAGCCTAGAGGGAAGAAGAGAGGGCATTAGCTAGAGAGAAACTTATGTCTAACATGAAAGACAATGGAGCAGGCAAAGAGCCTCTTTGTAGAGACAGAATTAATATACAGGAAGGGGATGGGGTAATCAGTGAAATAAAATCCCTGAACGAGGGTAAGAAAGATGGAATCACAGCACCACTAGGGATTTGCCTTAGACAATGGAAAAGCCAAATATTGTAAGATGTCTGCTACATTAAGAGCAGGATTGAAGAAGTGGAATAAAATGCAAAACAGCAAAATATTAGTTTATTTTGATAGATGAAGAGGAGGAGAGATGAGTGGTGGAGAGCCGTCTGAGCATGCAGGGTCATGGGAAGACTTTCAAGTTCAAAGGATAAGAAAGTCTCTGTCAACAAAATGTGGATCCAAAGCCTAACTTTCAGAACATTAGGCATATGGAATAGTATTAGTAACAGTTTGTCTTTTGGGGAAGTATAACATATAAACATTACCCTGTCTCACAGAACACTCATGTATTTTGGGAAATAAATTTTCTGATTCTCATCATGTTATTTCATAACAAGCAAAATTATTGAGTCATTGGTTATGTGAATTTGCTTCCACCAGGATATTTTAATAATTTTTTCCAAACCAATTTTTCTTCAAACATGCCCTGTCTGCCTCTGTTCCTCTGCTTCCTACCAGACTGGCTTCTCTCCTGGTCCTTTCAGGCTGTGGCCCCTTGCTACTCAAAGGGTGGTCTGCAGACCAACAACTAGGCATTACCTGGAAGCTTGTTAGGAATGCAGAGTTTTGGACCCATCCCAGATATACTGAGTCAGAATCTGACTTGTTTCAAGTTCCTCAGGCCCGTTGTGTATACACTAGCATTTGGGAAGAGCTGGTTTAGACGTCTCACTACAATCTGTCTTAACTTTAATTTGGTCTGCTTGTTTTATCTCTTTCAATTTCCAAAAGAAAAAGGATAATTTCTCATGCATATTCCCTATAGCACATTGGTCTCTGGAATATAGTTTCAAACTTCCTTTGTTCTGTGTAGGTTGCTAATATGGTCTGGCTGTGTCCCCACCCAAATCACATCTTGAATTGTAGTTCCCATAATCCCCATGTGTCATGGGAGGTGCCCGATGGGAGGTAACTAAATCATGGGGGCAGTTTCCCCAGTGCTATTCTGGTGATAGTAAGTTCTCATAAGATCTGATGGTTTTATATGGGGCTTCCTCCTTCACTCAGTTCTCATTCTTCTCCTTCCTGCCACCATGTGAAGAAGGACGTGTTTGCTTCCCCTTCTACCATTATTGTAAGTTTCCTGAGGCTTCCCCAGCCCTGCAGAACTGTGAGTAAATTAAACCTCTTTCCTTTATAATTTACCCAGTCTCAGGCAGTTCTTTATAGCGGTATGAGAATGGACTAATACAGCAATCTTTCAACTCATTTTCAGGTTCTTCTTCTGCTGTTACACAACGAATCCTCTCAATCCAACCTACTGGGTTCCACCCACACTCATGCACCTCCTATTGAAGACAAGTTGTGTGCTGTTATGCTACTGTGACTTTCGGCAGGCCATCCTTTTTATCCCTCCCAGCCTTTTTCCTCTTGAGGAATTACTAATTATCATAAAAGTCAATTGTCACCTGTCCTAGAAAGCCTTGTCCAACCACCCCATATGCTCTCCTCTACTATTATTACTTTGTGTTAGATTTCTATTATATCAGGCATAAACACTACATGAATTATTTATCTTTTCACCAAATAAAATATGAAGTTCATGAAGGGAGACAGTGTATTTTTTCTTCATCTTATATCCCTAGGACAGCTTTCTAACCCCTAGGAAGAAATCAAGACATGGTTCTAATAGATATAAGTAAAAATATAAATATAGACATCAATATATTTACTTTTATATTATCTATTTAGTTTAGGTATATAGATTTTATACTGTTTATATATGTAATTTTTATATATTCAATGTATAGTTTAATATTTAGCCTACATGTGTATGTTTGTATACATGTGTCTTTAGGATATATGGATTAGCTGAGTTTTCTCAGGAGAAAATATGAAAAGATTATAAGAATATATTTAAAATGGAGGAGTTGGGGAATTATTTTTATTCCCACAGCCCCTAAAGTGAAAATATAACTGCATAAATCCCATGACCTTATGCAATCTGTTTTTGGCAAAAGCCACACATGCTAAATAGTTACCCAAATATCTAACCATCTAGGTTGCCAGAACTAGATTTACAATTATTTTACTTTAGACTCTGCAAGATTTTAGGCTTTTCTGATTCCTATTTAAGCCACTTAAAATGCAAAATCCTTCTGTGGTCATAGTTTCAACAATCAAAAAACAAACAAGTTTTCACAGAGTATTTAAAATATATAACAGCAGAGTCATAGAAGGTGTGGTTTCTGTACCAGAAGGAAAGAAGGAGGAATGTGAGAAGAATTTATTGATCTCCTGCTGTACACTGGGAAGTTTTCTCAACAATTTACATGCAACCTCATGACAACTGTCTAACTGTTGTGTTATCATCTTCAAACAACATGTTTGTTTACGTATTCATAACATTTAATAGAAATGGTTGCATCTCAAAATCACCAAGAATAAAAATGTTCGTCTTAGTCCTTATCTTTCAGAAGAAATAACAATGCCTATCTCGTTTTAGTCTAATAATTGTAATACATCCTATGAAGTAGCTTCCCACACCACCAATAAACACTGACATAATACATTTAAGATATAAATGTGGTGAAAAACTTGCTGGGAAGTTTTTATACACAAGCTTCCCAGACCCTGTCAACCTTCAGATATTTACTACTAACAACAGCACCAATACCTGATTTCAAGTTGATGGTGGGACTCAAATGCTGGGCTGACTGTAAAAGGTTTACATGTTAGGAATATTCTGATTACTAAACCTCCAGAGAGAAGGTAGTTTTACATTAAGAAATCAAAATGATACTTTTCATAATGCCATGGATGTTGTCAGCTGTAAAAAACACATTCCTACATCTACTGAAATACCAAAAGATATCTGTTATGGTTAAGCTTTTGCGTCAACTTGACTGGTTCATGAGGCACCCATACATTTAGTCAAACACTAGTTCATACTACGCAACCATAAAAAAGAACAAAATCATGTTCTTTTCAGCAACATGGATACAACCGGAGTGAGTTAACATAGAAATTCACTTATCCTAAGTGAATTAACACAGAAACAGAAAAATCAAATACTGCATGTTCCCACTTACAAGAGGGAGCTAAACATTGAATACACTTGGACACAAAAATGGAAACAATTGACACTGGGGACTCCAAAAGTGGGGAGGAAGGGAAGGGAACAAGGGTTGAAAACTATCTATGGGGTTCTATGCTCACTATTTTGGTGATGGAACCAATACAAGGGCAAACTTCAGCATCACACAATATACCCATGTAACAAACCTGCACACATACCCCCTGAATCTAAAATTTTAAAAATAAATAAATAAATAAGCATCACTCTGGGTGTGTCTGTAAGGGTGTTTCTTGATGAGATTAACATTTGAATCTCTGGTAAAATGAGCAGATTGCCCTCCCTTAATGTGGACAGCCTCATCCAATCAATTGAAGACCTGAATAGAACAAAAAAGTAACTCTGCCTGCTTGACCACTTGAGCTAGAACATCAGTTTTCTCCTGCCCTTGAACTAGAATTTACATCATCAGTTTTCCTGGATCTCGGGCTTTTGGACTTGGACTAGAACTTACATCATTGGTTCTCCTGATTCTCAGGTCTTCAGACTCAGGCTGGAACTATACTAACAACTCTCCTGGGTTTTCTGCCTGCCAATTTGCACATCTTGGGACTTCTCAGCCTCCATGATCATGTGAGCCAATTTCTTATGGCAAGGAGAGGGAGAGGGAAAGAGAGTGAGGAGTTGATAGGTAGTTCTGTTTCTCTAGAGAACCCTAATATAATAACATGTTTATAACTCATCACTTCCTTAAAATAAAAATAAAGAGGCCCGGGGTGGTGGCTCACACCTGTAATCCCAGCACTTTGGAAAGCCAAGGCAGGTGAATCACTTGACACCAGGAGTTTGAGACCAGCCTGGCCAACATGACAAAACTCTGTCTCTACTAAAAATACAGAAAAATTAGCCAGGCATGGTGGCACACAACTGTGATCCCAGTTATCCCAGCTACTCGGGGGCCTGAGGCAGGAGAAATTGCTTGAATCCAGCAGGTGGAGGTTGCAGTGAGCCAAGATGGCACCACTGCACTCCAGCCTGGGTGACAGAGTGAAACTCTGTCTCAAAATAAAGTGAAATAAAATAGAATAAAAATAAAGGACAACACTTGAAGCAAACTGTTTTAGAAATACTAGAATTGTCCATATTCTTCAACAGCGTTCCTGTGGTGTTTCAATGATGTGCACTCAGCAAGAAACATCAGTAATTAAAAGTTGAAGTTCTGTTTTGGTCACAACCTAAGGAGAATGGGCATGTTGACCGAGAACTCTGAGGAGAGAGTTTGAACCACAATTTAGCAGCACTTCCTTAAGGTCTTTATCTACATCATCTCACTTAATACTTATAATAACCATGAGATAGATATTATCCTGACTTTATAGGGTTGGAGAGGTTAAGTAACTAACCCTATCACTTACACACTGACTGACTTTGGTCAACTTAACATGATGTCTCTTGAGTACCATGTCTTCTTCATCTTTAAGTTAGGGGTTGGATTGCTTAGCTCGCAGAGCTGTTCTAATAACCGAGTGATGAGATATATACGATGCATCTGAAATATAATAGGTGTTCACATGCACACAGGAAGGGGAACATCACACACCGGGGCCTGTTGTGGGGTGGGGGGAGGGGGGAGGGATAGCATTAGGAGATATACCTAATGTTAAATGATGAGCTAATGGGTGCAGCACACCAACATGGCACATGTATACATATGTAACAAACCTGCACGTTGTGCACATGTACCCTAAAACTGAAAGTATAATAAAAAATAAAAATAAAAAAATAATAGGTGTTCAATAAGTACTTATTTCCTTTCCCTTTACTGCAGTTCAGCAAAATCCCAACAGATAATAGCCCAAATCATACCCTAGAGTTTCAAATAATTATTACAGATTGTTATTCAAAAAACAATACAAGGATCAACCTCTAGCTGTGTATTTTCAAACTAAAAAATATGTAACTGAGCAGATGTTTGGCAAATAGAGAATAATAAACTAGTTGGAAATTTCTAATTTGATGCCACCCAATCAGTCCGAGTATTGGTGTTTCAGGGTTTATTTTAAATGTTGTCATTATGTGCTCTTGGAAATTATGGGTTTTCTCTTGAAATTATTTTCAAATGTGGCTTCCTACTCTGTTAAGTATGTTTTTTTTCATCATATGGTGATTCCTATGACACTGTATTAATCACTCTCCACAATGAAGATTATGCTTAACATAAAATTCAGTGTTGGCCACAAGCAAATAACTATTATACAGACCTACTGCTCCTCCTGAGCAAATGTTACCCAGGCCTCTTTACAGTTAGTGGTTCACTGCAGTGTGAGCAGCTTACATCATTTGGTTTCAGTCCTTCCCTGATTAGTGAAATTGACTCAAAGCTTGGGATTTATCATGTAAGAAAAGAGTGAAAATGTTCCCCATTTTTAGGAGAACAGTTAAATATTATAAAGGCTCTTTAGTTTTAAATTCACTTCTTTCACTCAGTATGCCCATATTTGTTACATTTTTGTTGAACACATTACTTTACACAATGAACTGGTTATAAAAATGAGCCCCAATAATGAAATCAGTGTTTGACTGTGATAAATACAAGACACAGTCCAAAAAGGTTTTTTAATATAGTTTATTTTCCCAAGGCTTATTTTATAGGAATACTTTTTTTGTACATTGGATGACAATTCCTTATCTAGTCATTTATTTTCAACTACTAGCAACTATATTGTTGGTCTTATGTACAATTCCACTCATTCTATGCTCCCTTTCTGTATACATTTCCTAAAAATTTATTTTTCTTGTTTAAATGTAACATATTCTCTATAACTGAGGGACCTTGTTGATATGTTTTTTAACATTGTTTAATTTGTTATTTACCCACTTTACACCAATTATTATGCTCAGATATTTGTGCATAGATCATGGGTGAATTTAGCTTGAGAATATTATGTATGTTTGCAAAAAGACAATATATAGTCACTTATGAAAAAAGTCAAAGGGTAACATGATAAAGTGAATAGGATCATTTTATACTTTGTTTTTATTTCATTCACCTATAGTTGGCAATCTTATTTATAAACAACAAAGAAACAAAACATCATGAGGTGGTTCAGCAATAAAACACACTTTCTACATCTCTCAACTTTTCTTTCCTTCTTAACACTTCCCCTTCCCCCTAGAAACCATGGTTCCTCCTGCCATCTGTTCACAAGTGTTGAAAGGAGTAGCTCTGACCATACCCAGGAGAGGTGAAAAGTACAAGAATAATTTTCCATAACTGGCCCAGGACCCAGTGAATTTCAAGCAACAAGAAATCTCTCTGGCCTATTTCACTAAACCAGCCTTCACATGTCTGCTGCCCAGAGCCTATATCTTCCCATAGTTTCCTCTGTGGCCAACCTTTGACAAGGCCCCACAGGGATGTTAACTGATTATGTTGGTCCCTTCTTGTGCAGCTGTGAATAAACAGCCAAGACTGGGTAATTTATTTTAAAAAGAGATTTAATTGATTCACAGTTCTGCATGACTGGGAAAGCCTCAGTAAACTTACAATCATAGCGGAAGGGAAAGCAAACATACCCTTCTTCACAAGGCAGCAGCGGAGAGAAGTGTGCCCAGGAAAGGGGGAAGGCCCTTATAAAACCTTCAGATATCAGGAGAACTAACTCACTATCACAAGAGCAGGATGAGGGAAACAGACCCCATGATTCAATTATCTCCTCCTGGTCCCTCCCACGACATGTGGGGATTATGAGAACTATGATTCGAAGTAAGCTTGGGTGGGGACACAGCCAAACCATATCACTGATGAAAGAGGTCTTTGTCCTCATTAAATAGTTGGGTTTTGCTGGGATACCTTCACCTGACTCCTGAGTAAGGAGCAGCAACCATATACATTTTACGTCTCACATTTATTAACTTAACTTTAATTTTTGCAATCTGTAAGCTACATAGAACCCTACAAAGGGATAGTTAACCTTGTTTCTTACCCCGAGCAAAGATTGTCTTACAAATCAAAAAATCATTTCACTATCTTAATTGGATAATACTTGTGAGAAACGCACTACTGGAGTTACTTTTTCTCATGAGTCTGTATGCTTTTATTCCAAGTGAAAACATTTGAATGAATGATAACATAGAAGCTTTTACTCATAGCAACCAGAAATCTGGTGGAGAGGGTACATGTAACCCCTGGGGAAAACAAAGAACAGTAATGGGAAACATCCTTTCAGCTGTACTAAGCTAAATGAGGAATGTAACATTAAAACATTCCTAAGAAACATGACTTTTCAGCCTCAGCAATTTAAGAAATAACAATTTTCCTATTATTTTTCCAGGGAAATGTTGCTGATTCTACACATATTTTAAAGATATCTTTGAGGCTTTGTATAGTACAACTAAGTCAAATCCTGGGAGAGATGGTGGAGGACTCTTTCCTATAAATCACAGGCTTCCAAACTCATTGATTTAACGGTCATAAAAACTTCGGATTACAGTCATGTGTCACGTAAAAAGGGGAATACATTCTTCGAAATGCATCATTAGGTGATTTTGTCACTGTTGAATATCATATTTACACAAACCTAGATGGTAAAGCCCACCAGAAACCTAGTCTTTATGGTAGTCTATTGTTCCTAGACTACAAACCTGTATAGCATGTTGCTGTACTGAAAACTCTAGACAATTGTAACACAATTATAAGAATTTGTGTCCCTATAGCTGTACATTAAAAAGGTAAGTAAAAATACAGTATAAAAGAAAAAATGGTACACCTGCATAGGGCACTTACCATGAATGAAACTTGAAGGACTGGAAGTTGCCCTGGGTGAATCAAGGAGTGAGTGGTGACTGAATGTGAAGGCCTAGGACATTACTGTACCCTACTGTACACTTCATAAACACTGTACACTTAGGCTACACTAAATTTATAAAAAATAAAGTAATTGTGCTATGATGTTACAATGGCTACAACATCACTTGGCAATAGGAATTTTTCAGCTCCGTTATAATCTTATGGGATGGGATGGCTATTGTATATGTGGTCCTTTGTTGACCAAAACATTGTTATAGGACACATGACTTTATTGTCTTAGATCAATGGTTTTCCAACTTTAGCATGCATAACAATTGCCTGGAGAGCTTGTTAAAACAGAATACTGGGCCTCACACCCAGAGTGTCTGATTCAGTAGGACTGTGATCAGGACTGAGAATTTATATTCCTGAGAATTTATATTCCTGAGAAGTTCCCTGGACACTGATGCTACAGATCCTGGAACCATACTCAGAGAATTATAGGATACTTAAACGGGCTATGGTATTTATTACATCACTCTCAAATATCAATGTATTTTTTATGGGAAGTTAACATTTACATGGGCAAGAGAAATAACTCCTATTGTATCCTAATATGGTAACAAAAATTTATATTAGCTGATTCAAAAACTAGCTCTTTCTAAATACAAGCTGATGTCAGGATTCCACACCTTGAAGAGGTCAGATGATGGGACAGTGATGAAATGCATGGGACTGTCCCAGGTTATTAAGTTCCCTTTCACTGTCTCTAGCCTATGACTTAAACTAGTCATGAGATTCACATTGGAAAGACCCTCAGAGGATAATCAGCCAAATGTCACCAGTGCCATCTCTGGAAGAAAGAATATCTGAATAGGAGAAATGTGGAAGTAAAATTGAAGAAAAGTAGAAAAGGAGGAGAAATATGGAAAGGCAAACAAAGCCTTACCTGGGGTCTATTATGACAATTAGCCCAGTCTGCTAAGGAAAGTTTATTCAAACTGGAAGAGTAAATCTTGCTTTGATATTGAAAATAACCTTTCCAGTCTTTGCTCTGCATCCATTTGTCTTTTTCCATCCTTCCTTTCCACTTCTTAACAGTAGAAACTTTCTGCTGGTGTTTTTTATTAAACAAGACCACTGTCAAGGCCCCATAAAAGTTATATATTTTGGGCCAGGTGTGGTGACTCACACCTGTAATCCCAGCACTTTGGGAGGCTGAGGCAGGCGGATCACAAGGTCAGGAGATCGAGATTAGCCTGGCCAACATGGTAAAACCCTGTTTCTACTAAAAATACAAAAAAAAAAAAATCAGCCCAGCATAGTGGTCCGCGCCTATAGTCCCAGCTACTCGGGAGGCTGAGGCAGGAGAATTGCTTGAACCTGGGAGGTGGAGTTTGCAGTGAGCCGAGATCAGGCCACTGAACTCCAGCCTGGGTGACAGAGTGAGATGCCATCTCACCAAAAAAAAAAAAAAAAAAAAAAAAAAAAGTTATATATTTCACATGGTTTTATTTAAAGAGGATCCATGTTATGACACTTCTGGAGGGCACGTTAGCCATATAAATCAAAAGCTTCTAAAAAGTATTTTCTCTGACCCAGCAAATCTATTTCTTGAAATTTATCCTGAGTGAAATCAACATAACTGTATTTTCAAACATTTAGTTACATGGATATTCATCAAAGCGAGGTTTATTTTTAAAACATTATGAAAACCTAAATGTCTGATAAAGTAATATTTTTAAATTTGTGACATATTAGAATAAGCCACTGAAATATTATTGAACAATTTATAATTGCCATAGAAAGATATCCAAGATATCACATTTAGAAAAACAAGTCTAAAACATTATGTTTTCAATTATTATTTTGGGGGTGGGTGCAGTGGCTCATACCTGTAATCCCTGAACTTTGGGAGGCCAAGGCAGGCAGACCACATGAGGCCAAGAATTCGAGAACAGCCTGGCCAACATAACGAAATCCCACCTCTACTAAAAATATAAAAATTAGCTGGGCATGGTGGCGCATGCCTGTAATCCCAGCTACTCTGATGGCTGAAGCATGAGAATCGCTTCAACCCAGAAGACAGAGGTTGCAGTGGGCCAAGATGGGGCCACTGCACTCCAGTCTGGGTGACAGAGGAAAACCCTATCTCAAAAACAAAAATTATTATTTTAGAAAAATGTGTACACAAAAATGTGAAAGACCAGAAGTATACACTGAAGTGTTAATGTGTAATCTCACTATCTAGAGGCTAATATTCAACTTTTTTTTCATTTGTTCAGATCTTTTACAATAAACATGTATGTTTTATGATAAAAACAATTAAGTTTAAATCATTTTAATTTTTTTTTTTTTAGATGGAATCTCACTCTGTCGCCCAGGCTGGAGTGCAGTGGCACAATCTCGGCTTGCTGCAACCTCCACCTCCCGGGTTCAAGTGATTCTCCTGCCTCAGCCTCCTGAGTAGCTAGAATTACAGGTGCTCACCACCATGCCCGGGTAATTTTTGTATTTTTAGTAGAGATGGGGTTTCACCATATTGGCCAGTCTAGTCTCAAACTCCTGACCTCAAGTGATCTGCCCACCTTGGCTTCCCAAAGTACTGGGATTATGAGCATGAGCCACCATGCCCAGCCCATGTTAACATTTTTAAATAGTTGTGAAGATAATTTTTGTATTTCATGAAGGATAATGAAGGCACTTGAGAACTTTCATAAAAGTTAAATTTTCACCTATAGATAAATTGTTTGAGACAGGTAACCTCAGTATAGTAAGATCTTACTCAGTCCATAAAGAATAACCCAAAAAAAATTACCCGAGTTGATTAGTGGAAACATTCAACAAAAAATTATAATTTCATTTCACAAAAACATTTTTTTCCATGAAAATATCCTAGGGTGAGTAGGAACTGATAGTCTTTAAAGAGAGTTACATCATTTTATTGAAAAACACTCTTGGCTATCAGGGTGCTACTAGACACACTACTTTCTTATTAAAAATAAACAAAATGCATGTGACATTTTGTTTTTATTTGGTGTTTAGTAGACTGTGTCTGTTCATGAGAAGCAAATATTCTAATAGCTATCCATTAAAGAACATAAACTTACTTTCCTTTAGTTAAACAGCATGAATGGCTAACATGTACACTAACACATGCCAGCTTCTTACACTTTACAAAAGACCAGTGGAGATTCTTTTTATTTAAAAAGACTGCTTCAGAACTGGATTCTGCCATCGAAATTGTAGTCCTAGAACTTCCACTAATACTCTGTGGATGTAGTCTAGTTACTCAAACAATGCCAAATTCTCAGATTCTTCAGCTATAGTGGTGAAAATCTTGAGAAATATAATTTTCAAAGTATAAGATTCTTTCTGCCTCTGTCATTTTTCTAGGCACTTCTGGCTAATTTTTTTTCACTTTGCACAAACTTCAAAGACATGAAAAAAATACAAATAATTCTCTTTATTCTAGTGGAGGCTTTTTACAAATATAAACTGGAAACAATTATAAAGCTATTTATAAAGACTCACTACTACAAATGGAATTTTCTGTTTGTTCAAATTAAGAAATGAAAGACAACTTCCTATTGAGAAATCAAAATCTAAGAGAACTTTTACAGAAGTGCCTACAAACATAAATGACAACTTTTCATCTATTTTTAAAGTTTACTAATGACTTGTATTTGCTATCTGACTGTAAATTGTATTGAATTTTTGTGGTTGTATGTAATTAAATTTAATCTTTACTCTTAAGCATGCAAATAAATTTCTATCCTTGATTTGATTTTAATTTTTTTTTTTTTTTGAGACAGTCTCATTCTGTCACCCAGGCTGGAGTGCAGTGGTGCAATCTCGCCTCACCGCAACCTCCATCTCCAGGGTTCATGCAATTCTAGTGCCTCAGCCTCCAGAGTAGCTGGGATCACAGGCGCCTGCCACCACATCAAGCTAATTTTTGTATTTTTAGTAGAGACGGGGTTTCACCATGTTGACCAGGCCGGTCTCGAACTCCTGACTTCAGGTGATCCACCCATCTCAGCCACCCAATGCTGGGATTACAGGTGTGAGCCACTGCAACCAGCTTGAATTTTTTAAAAGAACTCTACCTCTGAAGGTTTCTGGGTCTTACTGTTTAGATACTACCTTGAATGGTTAATATCAATCAATTATTATCAATAACACAAGTATTTGTGAATCTCTTTGAACTTTCACAATCCATTCACATAATCTATTATCATGAGCGTCAAATCAGATAATGTTGCACAGACAAAACATAATTTTTATTTTTCAAGGAATGGAGAAAAACTATTATAGTTTTGTACCTATAAAGTCAGTCACTGAGCTTTTTTATTTTAAATAAAATCCTCATGTAAGCCTCACAATGATTAGAAGATATAAATATTCTCCCCAGCACTTTGGGAGGCCAAAGCGGGCAGATCACAAGGTCAGGAGATCAAGAACATCCTGGCCAACATGGTGAAACCCCATCTCTACTAAAATACAAAAAATTAGCCAGGCGTGGTGGTGTGTGCCTGCAGTCCCAGCTACTGGGTAGGTTAAAGCAGAGGAATCACTTGAACCTGGGAGGCAGAGGTTGCAGTGAGCCCAGATTGCACCAGTGCAGTCCAGCCTGGGTGACAGAGCGAGACTCTGTCTCAAAAAAAAAAAAAAAAAATTATCTTAATGAGGAAACAAACAAAAAATTCTTTAAATCATTCCA
Source organism: Homo sapiens (assembly GCF_000001405.40). Classification (NCBI taxonomy): domain Eukaryota; kingdom Metazoa; phylum Chordata; class Mammalia; order Primates; family Hominidae; genus Homo; species Homo sapiens. Next base: position 101,823,071 of record NC_000011.10, read on the forward strand.
AGACTAAATAATAAAAAATGGTGAGTTTGCAGTAATAACAAGTTAAACATATTAAATATATTAAAACATTATCTTTATTTTTTATTTTTTATCTTATTTTTATTATCTTCATTATTTGGACGTTTCTAAATATCAAGTTTAAAGGTATTGTAACTCCTCCTTTAGATACTTGGACATTTTCCACTTAATATTCTGAAAATAAACATCCTTATCCTTAAGATAATTCAAGTAGATCTCTGTACCTTGCAAACTAAGAAGTCTTAACACATTTCTTAAAATACTCATTTATTCAATTTAGAAACTGAAATATGCAAAGCATCAGTATTTGTATACAAATTAATCAAATCAGGTTCTCTAAAAGTTTAATTGTGTTCAGCAGATCAATTTCTTCTTCTTACCCTTCATATCTTTCACCCACGTTCATCCTTTCTACCCATTCGCACTACAGACAATGACCATACCAGGGGCTGAGATAACAAAGCTGCTCCCTAACCCCTAGGGGCTCACACTTCAGTGGAAGAGACTCAGAAAAAATTAATGTCATTTGGAAAGAGTGTTATTAAAGAATGTGAACAAAGATCATAGGGCATACAAAAATAAAAAACCATAAAATTTTATTTACATCTTTAATGTATCTTTGCCAGTCCTTTGTCATTTTGAATTTGGCATTTGAAGGAAAGTTTAAAACTCCTGCCAAAGCACCAATATTCCCATTGCAAACTTTAGTTAGATGAAGCGGTGATTTCTAGTGCTTTCCATAAGTGGATTTTATATAATGTAAAAATGTTTAGGGTGAAGCTACAAAAATAAATAGGATTGTCATTTTTAAATAACATACTCACACAAAATTTACTCTAACAGGAAAGTTGTGGTAATGCAATTTTTCACAAACAGGACCAGGATAAAAAAAATATAATGTTTGTCATGAAAAGTCAAAAAAAATTGTACTATTTTTATTTGTGTCTGAATTGAATAAGGAACATCATAAAGACAAAAGAGGTATATTGCCATTCCCAATATGATATGCTGGTACTGCTTTGGAGCTAGAAGGGACCTTGATGATGCCATCTTCCTTCACTAGTTGTCTAACAAAATTTGGAGCCCTAGAAAGAAGGTCAGGTGGAGCAGAAAGGGCACAGAGGTTGGTCTGAGACATTCTGGGTTGTGATGCTACGGGGAGAGCCGGGGGAGGTATCATCATAGAGGTGGGAAGAATTATTAGATAGAGCCCACATCCAGGCAATGCTTGATGGCTGGAATTAATGTAACTCTTATGACAGAAAACTGAATACCGGGAAGAAGACTCTAAGTATCCATTGTTATATTGCCTATATTGAGATAAGCAGTCTATATTCCTTCTGAAAGCTGCCCATGCCCTTCCAGCATCCTGAAAAGTGTATCTTCCTCCCCTCAACCTCTTCTCTGTTCAGAGGCAGCTCAAGTATCAACACAGCAAAGAGCTTCTCTGGCCATCCCTACTCACACTGATCATGCCTTCAAGATGTCAGGTTGTGTGATGGTGAAGAGCAGACTCTGACGCCCAGATGCCTGAGTTTACACCCAGATCTGCCACTTGGGAGTTGCATGAGCTTGGGCAAGTAACCAAGCTTCAGTCTACCTTTATTGGGGGAACTCTGGTATACACACAATGTAACAAATCAGTAGTCTCCAAATCGTTTTATGTGTTAGTTTGTCTCCTTAGTTAAGTGATAAGTTTTTTTATCTGACAAAATTCTTGAGTAGACGAATATTTTAAGTGCTATTAAAACAAAATTCGTGAGTACATAATAAGTATTTTAAATGCTATTAAAAATTAGTATGTGTAAATTAAGATTTGAGGTTTGGAAGCTGTTCTTGTAGAATAACATGAATTCTCCAGTTATAGGCACTTGAACTTGATTTCCAAGATGTTTTTCAACTCGCAGAGTCTTCAGTTTACTGACAAGAAACAAAAGCCCAGAGAAGTTACGTGATAAAATCAAAATGAACAGTTAATTATTTGCAGGGCCCATTGATTCTGACTGTTATTCTTGCATTCTTTCTTTTATACTATATTGGTATAATGAATGGTTCAAGTATAAGCCTGCATGTTAATTATTTCTTAAAAGTCTTTCAAATACTACTTTTCGTAGTTTTTTTTTTCCAAAATAAATATATCAGGTATTCTTAGAAGCCAAAGGAGGAGAATCTATGAATGAAATTCAGCTATCTGTGAGGTGGTTAAAAAAAATACGTACTACATACACACACAAATACAAACACACATAGTAAAAATGCAAACATGTATACTGTCCTGGAGAATAGATTCCAATATTTTAAGATGAACACAGGGAGCCATAATCCAAAAAAATATCAGAACCACCAATATAAATGATTTATGGAGTCCCTTCCACTCTAAAATTGTATGACCATGTCATTAAATCTGTTAATTATAAGTTGCTAGATTTTTGTGGTCAAATATTTTATAATTAGCATGGATTGAAATGTAATACACACTATATTAAACTTCAGAAAAAAGAATAAATTTAACTTTTATTTATAAGACAATGCTAAAATAAATATTTTCATGCTTTCTGGCCTTGGTTCACTGCATTTTGGAAGTCAGAGAACAGATGAACTTTATATTACAGCATTGAGCAATACAGCACAAACTGCAGATGCGCCTGCAACCAGGAAGGCCACATCGTCTCTCCTCACAACAAAACATTGCTTTCCAATCACGGGCATCTTAAGTTGTGCGTCATTATTTTAGAAATGCTCTTCAAGTTTGTGTCAGGTCAGAACCATTTTTAAAAACAAAAACATAATCAAGAAGAATATAAATAGAATAAATTCAATACAGTAAAAGAATCCAAATAATCAGGGACCAAGAGAAATCTCTGTCTTCTCTGGACAAATTCCTTCACCTTGTCCAGGTTTTTGTTTTCTCTGCCATAAAAATAAGGATGGCTTGGTGGCTCACGCCTGTAATCCCAGCATTCTGGGAGGCCAGATCTGGCAGATCAGTGGAGCTCAGGAGTTTGAGATCAGCCTGGACAACACAGTGAAACCCTGTATCTTCAAACAATACAAAAATTAGCCAGGCATGGTGGTACACACCTGTAAGTCCCAGCTACCTGGGAGGCTGAGGTGAAAGGATCACCTGACCCTGGGAGGTTTAGGCTGCAGTGAGCTGTGATCGCTCCACAGCACACTGGCCTGGGCAACAGAGCAAGACCCTGTCTCAAAAATAAATAAATAAAAATAAAGAAGTTGAGAAGCAAATCTTTCCTGGTTTTTTTCAGTTTGGGGTCTTGGGGGTGGTTTTTTGTCCATCTTCCAACACCTTACTCAGCCTAGAGATGGCTTCCCTCAAATTGTTTGTACCTGGCTGAACAAAGGATGGAAGGAGAACCAAGAAGACCTACCAAAGGATGAGGTAATAAGATAGCTTTCTAATTCTTCCTGAGACAGTTCTATGGAATGCAGCATTATATTCACAGTGCGACAAATTCCCAAATCAGACAAAACCATTTTGCCTATATTTTAAGAAGGGAATTTTTAAAAATGCCTTCCAGAAACAAACGATTTGAGGATTTCACAGCTGTTTGGAAAAAACTAACAGACACATTTAGGTATAGCTACAGTAAAATTATTTACTTGGACTTCATTACATTGAAATTTGGAGATATTCTAATTCTTATATTTACTTTATGAGGTAAAAGAATGAGATTCACTATTCCCCAGAGATCAAGTAAATTATGAACTGAGAGGGGAGGTACGTGAGGGACACTCATTTTGTTAATGTTTACTTTTTTTTCTGTTTTTACACCACTTAAAATTGTTCCAAGAGGAAAAATAAAAACAACATATAATATAGTTAATGAGAATTAATGTTTGTCTTAGTCCATTCAGGTTGCTATAATAAACTATAATATACTGAGTGGCTTAAACAACAAACACGCATTTCTCACAATCTAGAGGGTAGAGAGTCCAAGATCAAGGAACTGGCAGATTCAGTGTCTGGTGAGGGCCCACTTCCTAGTTCATAGATGGCCATCTCCTCATTGTGTCATCACATGGCAGAAAGGGTGAGGGATCTCTCCAGGGTCTCTTTCCTAAGGGCAGTAATCGCAGTCCTGAGGGCTCCACTGTGATGGCCTAATCACCTCCCGAAGGCCTTACCTCCTAATACCATCACATCAGGGGTTAGGATTTCAACATATAAATTGGGAAGATACATTCAGTCCATAGCATTTCACCCCTAGGCCCACAAAATGTATGTCTTTCTCATATATACAATGCATTCATTCCATCTAACAGCCCCAAAAGTCTTAGTTCATTCCAGCAACAACTCTAAAGTCCTGAGTCTCATCTAAATAACATCTAAATCAGATATGGATGAAACTCAAAGTATGATTCATCCACAGGCAAATTCCTCTTTAGTTGTGAACCTGTGAAACCAATCAATTTATCTGCTTTCAAAATATGATGGTGACACAGGCACAGAACAGACAGTTTCTTTCCAAAAGGGAGAGATAGGAAACAAGAAAGGGGTAATGGGCCTCAAATAAGTCAAAAACTTAACAAGGCAAACAATATTAAATCTTAAGGCTTAAGAATAATCCTCTTCAGCTTAATGCTTCACTCTCTAGACCCACTGGGGCAACAGCATCACACCCCTGGCTTGGTGGGGTAATACACAAGCCCTGAGTCTCTGTGGTGGCCCTACCCATGCCACAGCTTTCTGCTATGGCCCTGCCCCAGCAGCAGCTCCCTCCAGGCTAGAATTGCAGCCCTACAGCTTCAGGCAGCCCTGTCCTTTGAAACATAAATGGAGGCAGCCATAACTTCCAGGCCCATATCCTCTGGGCCTGTGTTGATGGTGGCAACCCTAATGATCTCTGAATCACCTTTGAAGTCGTTCTTCCACAGTTTTGAAGAATAGTGCCTGACTTCTACTGAGATGGCTGATCCATACTAATCTCTTTATCAAATGGTGGTTTGGCCACACCCTTAGTATTCTCATTTTTTACAATATGGATAGGCCAAAAATCTTTCCAATCTTTTACTGCCTTTATTTTTCCTTAACAAAAGCAAGTAATTAACTAAAAATGAAGTCATTTTTTCTCTTCTTGCATTTTACTGTAAGCAGTTAGGAGAAGCTAAGCTGTACCTTAAACACTGCTTAGAAATTTTCTCAGCTAAATATCCAATTTTATTCTTTACAAGTTGTACCTTCCATAAAGCACTGGAGTATGAGCATAATTCAACCAACTTCTTCACCACTTTATGACAAGAATCACCTTTCCTCCAGTTTCCAATAATATCTTCTTCATTTCCATCTAAGGCCTTATCAGAATGGCCTTTACCATCTATATTTTTATCAATATTCTGGTCATGATTACTTAGATATTCTCTAAGAAGTATGAGGCTTTCTCTGCAGCCCTACTCTTTTATTTCTGAGCCCTCACCAGAATCATCTTTAATGATTTATGTCAACAGTGTAGGCTTTTTCTAGGATGCATCTCAAAATTCTCCCAGCCTCTATCCATCACCTAGTTCCAAAGCCACTTCCACATTTTTAGGCATTTATTACAGCAGCACTCTCACTTCTTGGTACTAATATCTATTGTATTATGGGGAATTGGCTCACATGACTATGGAGCCTGCAAAGTCTCATGATCTGTTGTCTGCAAGCCAAAGTCCCAGGAATGCCAGTGGTGTAATTTAATCTGGGTCCAAATACCTGAGAACCAAGGGAGCTGGTAATGTATATCCCAGTCCTATGGCAGAAGAAGATGAGATGAGATGTTCCATCTCAAGCAGCAAGCAAGAAGCAAAAAGGGACAAATTCATCCTTCTTCTACCTTTGTCCTATTCAGGTCTTCAACTGATTGACTAATGCCCACCCACATTGCGGAGGGCAGTCTGCTTTACTGAATCCATGCGTTCAAATGCTAATCATCTGGAAACACACTCATGAACACATCCAGAAATAGTGTTTAATCTGAACATCCTGTGGCCAGTCAAGTCGACACATCATATAAACCATTATGATATTTAAAATTTTTATGTCAAATCTATATATTATTTAAAGCAGGGGTCAGCAAACTACAGCTTGTGGGCCAGTGTCTATTTTGTAAAACAGCTTTATTGGAATGCAGCTATGTCTATTCATTTATGTATTGTTTATGGCTGCTCTCAGACTAACATGGCAGAATTGAGGAGTTACAACAGAGGCCAAATGGCCAAAAAAAACCTAACCTAAAAACCTGACCTTTAATAAAAAGTCTACAGATCCTCAATCTAAAGCACTTTTAAAAAGAAACTCACACACATATACTCACACAGCATGACTCTTAATTCTATTTGTTTTCTGCAAATAATGATGAATTATATCTGTTTTGGGGAATTTCTAAATACTGGTAGGTTTGAACACCTTTTAGATATAAAGAAAATGTTTATATATATATATATATATATATATTCCATTATATATCTAGATCATGGAATACTACTCAGCCATAAAAAGGAATGAAATAGTGGCATTCACAGAAATCTGGATGAAACTGGAGACTATTATGCTAAATGAAGTAACTCAGGAATGGAAAACCAAACATCATATGTTCTTACTTATAAGTGGAAGCTAAGCTATGAGGACACAAAGGTGTAAGAATGATATGATACAATGAACTTTGGGGACTCAGGGGAAAGGGTGGGAGGGGATGAGGGATAAAAGATTACACATGTGGTACAGTGTACACTGCTTGGGTGCACCAAAATCTCAGAAATCACCATTAAAGAACGTATTCATGTAACAAAACATCACCTGTTCCCCAAAAACCTATTGAAATAAAAAATAAATTTAAAAAAATAAAATAAAATTCTATGGAGCCAAAAAAGAGCCTGAATAGCCAAAGCAATCTTAAGCAAAAAGAACAAAGCTGGAGGCATCACACTACCCGGTTTCAAACAATACTATAAGGCTACACTAACCAAAACAGCATGGTACTTGTACAAAACAGACACATAGACTGACAGAACAAATTTGAGAACCCAGAAAAAAGTCACACACCTACAGTCATCTGATCCTGAACAAAATTGACAAAAATAAGCAATGGAGAAAGGACTCCCTATTCAATAATTATACTGAGATAGTTGGCTAGCTGTATGCAGAAAAATGAAACTGGATCCCTCTCTTTCACCATTTATAAAAATTAACTCAAAATGGATTAAAGATTTAAATGCAAGATTGCAAACTATAAGAATCCTAGAAGAAAACCTAGGAAACACCACTCTGGACATCTTCCCTGGGAAATAATTTATGACTAAGTCTTCAAAAGCAACAAAAATGAAAATTGACATGTGGGACCTCATTGAACTAAAGAGCTTCTATAGAGCAAAAGAAACTATCAACAGAATAAACAGACAACCTACTGAATTGGAGAAAATATTCACAAACTCTGCAACTGACAATAACCTACCATCTATAAGAATCTAGAAGAAACTGAAACAACTGAACAAGCAAAAACCAACCCCATTAAAAAATAGATGATAGACATGAACAGACACTTCTCAAAAGAAGACATACAAGTGGCCAACAAACATGATGAAATGCTCCACATCACTAATCATCAGAGAACTGCAAATTAAAACCACAATGAGATACCATCCCACACCAGTCAGAATGGCTATTACTAAAAGTAAAAAAACAACAGATGCTGGTGAGGCTGTGGAGAAAAGGGAATGCTTATACACTGTTGGTGGGAATGTACACTAGTTCAGCCACTGTGGAAAGCAGCTTGGAGATTTCTCGAAGAACTTAAAACAGAACTACCATTCAATCCATTACTGGGTATACAGCCAAGAGAAAATAAATCATTGTACCAAAAACATATGCATGCATATGTTTATTAAAGTGCTATTCACAACAGCAAAGACATGGAGTCAACCTAGGTACCCATCAACTGTAGATTTCATAAAGAAAATGTGGTACATAGGCACCATGGAATACAATGCAGCCACTTTAAAAAATCATGTCTTTTGCAGCAACATGGATACAGCTGGAGACCATTATCCTAAATGAATTAATGCAGATACAGGAAACTAAATACTGCATGTTCTCACTTAACAACTGGGAACTAAAAAATGGGTACTCAAGAACATAAAGATGCCAACAATAGGCAGTGGGGACTACTAGGCGGGGAATTAGGGAAGAAAGAGTTGAAAAACTATTATTGGGTACTATGCTCAGTACCTTGGTGACAGGATCAATCATACCCCAAACCTCAGCATCACATAATATACTCAGGTAACAAACTTGCATATGTATCTCCTGAATCTAAAATAAAAGTTGAAATTATTGTTAAAAAAAAAAAGTATAGCTTATAAATTCGGTCTAAGCTTAACCAAAAAAAGAATAAGGATAAATTGCAAAAAATAATAATTTGAGATAAATCAAGAAATCTAAATTTGAAAGACAGACATATAACCCTTCTAGAGAATGCAGACTCATACAACCACTTGAAAATAATTCTGCAGTTTCTTTACAAGGTTAAACATGCATTTACCATATGGCACAACAATTCTGCAGATATTTACCCAAGAGAAATGAAAACTTGTGTCCACAAAAATTCTTATACGTGTTTATCCATTACTAATTTATTCATAAAAGTTTAAAAATTAATACAATAAAACAAGTATCAAATGTTTATCAGCTGTAGGTAGAATGGACAAATTTTGGTGCATTCATTCAATAGAACACTACTCAGCAATAAAAATTAACTACCAAAATACACAAGTGTATGAATCTCAAAAACATCATATTGGACTAAGTAAACAATATATAAAAGATAAAGGATTGAGCAGGAAGTGGAAAGAAGAAATTTTCGGGGGTGATGAAAACGTCCTATATCTTATCTGGAATTCTTTTATTACAAGGGTACTTACATTTGTCAAAACACATTGAACTGCACACTTATAATTTACATACAACAGATTTTAACTCAAAAAAAAATGGCAGCTGAGAGACAATGCTAGACACCAAAGACTGCCAACATTCTTTATGCATGCATGCAGACATAGAGATTAGCCATCCCCACCAAATCCCCCTTTGAGTAAGGACATGCTAGCCAGCTATGGAGAATATTGTCCACACACAGCCTCCCAGCTTTCTGTAGCCAAGACAATCCCTAAAAGAGCTGACTTACCCCAAGGTCATGTTTCTCCTGGGGCAGCCTGCATCCCATGACTGAACGAGGCCCAATTATTTTGAGTTGACCTAGGCTGTATTGATAGACAGTACTTGTTCCGGTGCTCCCCTTTGTGTTAGCCACAATTTTTCTGAACTGTAAGGCAGACTCAATTTCTTCCTCTACCTAATCCTGCTTCCTCTTCCTTCCTTTCATTGATGTTGACCCCTAATACATATCTTACATTCTAAACTTTCTCGCTATAACTACTTCCAGAAAACCTGACTTGCTATACTATGTCAACACTTTCCTACAGAATTTCTCCACGAAGTTTCTTTGCCATATGTCTTAAAATCCTCGCCTTGGATCATTCTACCAATCTTAATACTTTGGTAGAATGTGAACAGTCCTTCCATCTGGACTTTGTTAAAAACAGGTGCCCTTTTGTCATTATCTTTTCTGACAGCATATTGGGATCTTTTCTGGCTGCTCTGCTTCCATTCAGTATTAAATAAGTCAAGGTCCCAGCAAGAAATGGATATCATACTCCAAGGGGGTGAATGAAATGAACTTGATATTTTTAAAAGAGAACTACTTATTAAAGTGGGGCAGGCAGTAAGGAAATCGATGAGGGATAATTCAGTATGCTGAATCTAACATTAATAGGAAATAGTAAGAAACTACTAATAGGAAATAGTAAGAAACAACCTGAAAGTAAGGGAAAAAGCCATGATAATTGGAACCAAAGGCAAACAGATTTGTGTGAAATGGCTACTGAATGAATTATGCTGAAAATTACTATTTTAAAATGATTTATAATTATTACAGAATTTTAGTCAAGTTATTACATAATTTCAGTAAAAAAAATCTAAATCTGATTCTACATTAACACTTCTAAGAAATCTCGTTTGGCCAATTGCTATATGCCAATTATTTTATGCACTCATTCATTCACCAAATACTTATGGAGTACCTATTAAGTCAAGCATTCATATAGCAAAAGATTCATGAATACATTCAAACTACATTGAGGCTGCATTTAAAGTTTCCATGATGCACTCTACAATCATTGGATATTTTTACTACTTGACACATCTGTCTGTATTATCTGGATATGTCATAGAATAGAGACACATTTAACTAGTAGGAATTTATATCATAATTAATGTCATAATTTACCACTTTGTAGAATTGTTATACTAAGATGTTATGTTGACATGCTCAAATATAGTTTTGTGAATGATTTACGTAAATACAGGCAGACTTCATTTCATTGTGCTTCACTTTATAGTGCTTCACAGATTTTATGTTTATTACAAATTGAAGGCATGTGGCATTCTTGCATCAAGCAAGTCTTTTGGTGCCATTTTTCCAACAGCATGTGCTCATTTTGTATCTCTGTCACATTTTAGTAATCCACGCAATATTTCAAACTTTTCCATGATTATTTTATCTGTTATGGTGATCTGGGGCCAGTTATCTTTGTTTGTACTATTGTAATCGTTTGGGGGCTCCACACACCAAGCCTATTTGTGGCAGGGAATTTAATAAGTGTTGTATGTATTCTAACTGCTTCACCAATTGGTCATTCTGCCATCTTTTTCCCTCTCCTCAGATCTCCTATTACCTGAGACAAAACAATACTGAAACTAGCCAATTAACAACCCTACAATGGCCTGTAAGTATTCAAGTGAAAGAGTCATGCCTCTCTCTCTCTTTAAATCAAAAGCTAGAAATAATTATGCTTAGTAAAGAACGTATACTGAAAGCTAAGGCAGGCCAAAAGCTAGAACTCTTGTGCCAAGCAGTTAACCAAGTTGTGAAAGCAAAGGAAAAGTTCTTGAAGGAAATGGAAAGTGCTATCCCAGTGAACACGAATGATAAGAAAGCAAAACAACCTTATCACTGATGTGAAGAAAATTTTAGTAGTTTAAATAAAAAATCAAATGAGCCACGACATTCCCTCAAGCCAAAGCCTAATCCAGAGCAAAGCCCTAACTCTCTGCACTCTGTGAAGGCTGAGATAGGTGAGGAAACTACAGAAGAAAAGCTGGAAACTAGCAGAAGTTGGTTCATGAGGTTTAAGGAAAGAAGTCATTTTTATAATAAAAGTCCAAGGTGAAGCAGTACGTGCTGATGGAGAAGCTGCAGCAAGTTATCCAGAAGATCTAGCTAAGATAATTGATGAAGCTGATTACATTCAACAACAGATTTTCAATGTAGACAGAAAACCTTCTATTGGAAGAAGATGTCATGTAAGACTTACAGCTAGACAAAAAAAGTCAACGCCTCTCTTCAAGGCATCAAAACTTGAAAGCTTCAATGGACAGGCTGAGTCTCTGGTTAAGGGCTAATGCAGCTTGTGACTTTTAAGTTAAACCCAATTTTTTTTACCATTCTAAAAATCTTTAAAAATTATGCTAAGTCAGTACTCCGCCTGTGCTCTGTAAATAGAAAAACAACACCTAGATTATAGCACATCTCTTTATAGCAAGATATACTGAATATTTTAAGATGACTGTTGAAAGCTACTGCTCAGAAAAAAAAAAAAAGATTCCTTTCAGAATATCACTGCTCTTTGATTATGTATCTAGTCACCCAGGAGCTCTGACAGAGATGTACAAAAATATTCATGTTGGTTTCATGCCTGCTAAAACAACATCCATTCTGCAGCTCATGGATTAAGTAGTAATTTCAACTTTTAAGTCTTACTATTTAAGAAATACATTTTATGATATAGCTACATTTTATATAGCTGCCATGGATTGTGACTCCTCTGATGGATCTTGGTAAAGTAAAATGAAAGCCTTCTGGAATTAACTTACCATTCTAGATACCATTCATGATTAATGGGAAGAGGTCAAAATATCAGCATTAACAGGAGATTGGAAGGAGTTGATTCCAACCCTCATAGAATCTTAGCTCCTGAAGAGTTTAAGGCTTCAGAGAAGGAAATAACTGCACATGTGGTGGAAATAGCAAGAAAGCTAGGATTAGCAGCTGAGCCTGAAGATGTGACTGAATTGCTACAATCTCGATAAATCCTGAACAGAAGAAGAGTTGCTTCTTATAGATAAGCAAAGAAAGTGATTTCTTGAAACGGAATCTATTCCTGATGAATATGCTGTGAACGTGGTTGAAATGACAAGGGATTTAGAACATTACATAAATTTAGTTGATAGACTAACAGCAGAGTTTGAGAAGATTGACTCCAATTTTGAAAGTAGTTGTACTATGGGTAAGATGTTGTCAAACAGCATACACACTGCAGAGAAATCTTTCATGAGAAAAAGTCAATCGATATAGCAAACTTTATTGTCCCCTTATTTTAAGAAATTGCCACAGCCACCCGACCTGCAGTAACCACCACCCTGATCAGTCAGCAGCCATCAACACTGAGGCAAGATCCTCCACCAACAAAAAAATTATGACTCACTGAAGACTCACATGATCATTAGCATTTTTTAGCAATAAAGTATTTTTAACTGAGGTATGTACATTGTTTTATAGACATAATGCTATTGCCCTTTTAATAAACTATAGTATAAACATAACTTTTATATGCACTAGGAACTAAAAAATTTTTGTGACTCACTTTAATGCAAGATTTGTTTTATGCAGTGATCTGGAACTAAATCTGCAATATCTCCAAGGTATGCCTCTACTCGGTACATTTCAGATTTAGGGTGAAAATGTACCATGTAATAATATGCTTAATCCAAACAATAGAGAACAGAATTATTCAAATTTATGTATTTTGAAGATTAAAATTGTATTCCTTGTTACAATAATGAAAACCTGAAAAGTCTCTGCATTTATTGGGTCCTCCAGGAAGCAGATACCCAGGAGAAAATAGAAGGGAAAGAGACTCACCGGAGGTAGTGTCTATGAAAAATAAAGCAGAAAGGGAGCAGGAGTAGGCAAGGAAAATCTTCAGAGAGTGATACAGTTCTAAAACTTGTGAAAAGAAAGGGAGAGAAAAGGAGCATTGGGTAGGAAAAGCCTCAGATCAAGGTACAGCTCTGGAAAGCTCATTAGGAGCTCTAAGCAAAGACTCGTGGTAAAAGAGTCTTGTTGGCTTACTCTTTTCCTAATTGAATACCCTTTATTTCCTTCTCCTGCCTAATTTCCCTGGCCAGAACTTCCAACACTATATTGAATAGGAGTGGTGGGAGAGAGCATCCCTGTCTTGTGCCAGTTTTCAAAGGGAATGCTTCCAGTTTTTGCCCATTCAGTATGATATTGGCTGTGGGTTTGTCATAGATAGCTCTTACTATTTTGAGATACGTCCCATCAGTACCTAATTTATTAAGAGTTTTTAGCATGAAGCGTTGTTGAATTTTGTCAAAGGCCTTTTCTCCATCTATTGAGATAATCATGTGGTTTTTTGTCTTTGGTTCCGTTTACACACTGGATTACATTTATTGATTTGCATATATTGAACCAGCCTTGCATCCCAGGGATGAAGCCCACTTGATCATGGTGGATAAGCTTTTTGATGTGCTGCTGGATTTGGTTTGCCAGTATTTTATTGAGGATTTTTGCATCAATATTCATCAAGGATATTGGTCTAAAATTCTCTTTTTTGGTTGTGTCTCTGCCTGGCTTTGGTATCAGGATGATGCTGGCCTCATAAAATGAGTTAGGGAGGATTCCCTCTTTTTCTATTGATTGGAATAGGTTCAGAAGGAATGGTACCAGTTCCTCCTTGTACCTCTGGTAGAATTCGGCTGTGAATCCATCTGGTCCTGGACTCTTTTTGGTTGGTAAGCTATTGATTATTGCCACAATTTCAGATCCTGTTATTGGTCTATTCAGAGATTCAACTTCTTCCTGGTTTAGTCTTGGGAGAGTGTATGTGTAGAGGAATTTATCCATTTCTTCTAGATTTTCTAGTTTATTTGCATAGAGGTGTTTGTCCCTGTTTGCAGACGACATGATTGTATATTTAGAAAACCCCATTGTCTCAGCCCAAAATCTCCTTAAGCTGATAAGCAACTTCAGCAAAGTCTCAGGATACAAAATCAATGTACAAAAATCACAAGTATTCTTATACATCAATAACAGACAGAGAGCCAAATCATGAGTGAACACCCATTCACAATTACTTCAAAGAGAATAAAATACCTAGGAATCCATCTTACAAGGGACGTGAAGGACCTCTTCAAGGAGAACTAAAAACCACTGCTCAATGAAATAAAAGAGGATACAAACAAATGGAAGAACATTCCATGCTCATGGGTAGGAAGAATCAATATTGTGAAAATGGCCATACTGCCCAAGGTAATTTATAGATTCAATGCCATCCCCATCAAGCTACCAATGACTTTCTTCACAGAATTGGAAAAAACTACTTTAAAGTTCATATGGAACCAAAAAAGAGCCCGCATTGCCAAGTCAATCCTAAGCCAAAAGAACAAAGCTAGAGATATCACGCTACCTGACTTCAAACTATACTACAGGTCTGCAGTAACCAAAACAGCTTGGTACTGGTACCAAAACAGAGATATAGATCAATGGAACAGAACAGAGCCCTCAGAAATAACGCCACTTATCTACAACTATCTGATCTTTGACAAACCTGAGAAAAACAAGCAATGGGGAATAATAGGACAAGTGCTTTTGTCCTATTAAATAGGATTCCCTATTTAATAAATGGTGCCGGGAAAACTGGCTAGCCATATGTAGAAAGCTGAAACTAGATCCCTTCCTTACACCTTATACAAAAATTAATTCAAGATGGATTGAAGACTTAAACGTTAGACCTAAAACCATAAAAACCCTAGAAGAAAACCTAGGCATTACCATTCAGGACATAGGCATGGGCAAGGACTCCATGTCTAAAACACCAAAAGCAATGGCAACAAAAGCCAAAATTGACAAATGGGATCTAATTAAACTAAAGAGATTCTGCACAGCAAAAGAAACTACCGTCAGAGTGAACAGGCAACCCACAAAATGGGAGAAAATTTTCACAACCTACTCATCTGACAAAGGGCTAATATCCAGTATCTACAATGAACTCCAACAAATTTACAAGAAAAAAACAACCCCATCAAAAAGTGGGCAAAGGATATGAACAGACACTTCTCAAAAGAAGACATTTATGCAGCCAAAAGACACATGAAAAAATGCTCATCATCACTGGCCGTCAGAGAAATGCAAATCAAAACCACAATGAGATACCATCTCACACCAGTTAGAATGGCGATCATTAAAAAGTCAGGAAACAACAGGTGCTGGAGAGGATGTGGAGAAATAGGAACACTTTTACACTGTTGGTGGGACTGTAAACTAGTTCAAGCATTGTGGAAGTCAGTGTGGCGATTCCTCAGGGATCTAGAACTAGAAATACCATTTGACCCAGCCATCCCATTAATGGGTATATAACCAAAGGAGTATAAATCGTGCTGCTATAAAGACACATGCACACGTATGTTTATTGTGACACTATTCAAAATAGCAAAGACTTGGAACCAACCCAAATGTCCATCAATGATAGACTGGATTAAGAAAATGTGGCACATATACACCATGGAATACTATGCAGCCATAAAAAAATGATGAGTTCATGTCCTTTGTTGGGACATGCATGAAATTGGAAATCATCATTCTCAGTAAACTATCGCAAGGACAAAAAACCAAACACTGCATGTTCACACTCATAGATGGGAATTGAACAATGAGAACACATGGACACAGGAAGGGGAACATCACACTTTGGGGACTGTTGTGGGGTGGGGGGAGGGGTAGGGATAGCATTAGGACATATACCTAATGCTAAATAATGGGTTAATGGGTGCAGCACACCAGCATGGCACATGTATACATATGTAACTAACCTGCACATTGTGCACATGTACCCTAAAACTTAAAGTATAATAATAATTAAAAAAAGGAAAAAAAAAAGAGTCTTGTTGGACAGGAAGTGTCAAACCCTTTTGTCCTCACAAAGCCCAGTCATTGGTTGGGGCTGCCTGGGAAGAGATGGTGTCTGTAGCTCAAATACCCTGACAATCCATAAGAAGGGACTGTAAGTTATGTTCCTCACAACTAATTAGCACGTTTTTTCCTTAAAAGAATTTCTGAGCAATGAGCCTCCATGGCTGCCACTAACCACTGCAGCTCTGAACAGATCCACTTCTCCGTATGCATTCATGGAGTAATTGGTAAATGAAAGTCATACCATTGATTCCATTTTCAGCCACCATCCCTGCCCACATAAATGGCCACTCCATTTATGTGCCTACCCTTCCAGTTCAGGGTGACCAATGACAAGGCTGGCTAATGCCAACTGATCAAAACATTTGATCTACTTTGTTATTCATTGTCTCTTCTGCAATGGACACATTTTCTGGTGGGCATTATATGTGATATAAAAATCTTCACACTTCACACCCAATCCTATCTGTCCATCCACATGTCTCCATCACACACTCCCTTGTATACGATCTTTCAGTTCTTTTCCTTTTAGGCTTCTGACCAGCCAGCAAGATCATTCCCTAGTGTCAAGGAGTATGTACACATGTATGTACATACACACATACATATATTCATATTCTCACCTCAGGCCACTTTTTCCACACAAAGGTAATAATCAAGTTTGATGCTCAAAGTTCCACAATCAGGGAACTTTTTTCCTGCCACTGTATGTCAAGTTCACCCATAAGTGTGGCTAAAGAGTACCTGCCATTCATTTTTAGATTGTACCCATTTACCAATACAACCAATTCACAAACCAATCAGTTCTCCTCCATCAACTTATTATGCAGAACTCATAATTCGTAGGTACAAGCTAAAGGATGGTGCCAATGCCAACCTTGAAATTGACGTGATGATCTGGAGTACCTGCTCACATAACTGACTCAAGTGCTTTTGTCCAGCTTGGGCTCAAGCTTGGATGTGCCATTTACATCTGAAGAGGGACTGCTGCTGGGCCCACTCAATGTTACAACTTGGTAGGTCCAACAGAATCAGATTATAATAGCCAGTTCTGAAAGCATGGTCATAGGGTGAAAAAAAATGGTCATATGTTTCTTCTTCACCAGGGCCCAGTAACACAGAAGGAGCTATTTCTTGACAGGCATAAAAATCTCCACTGCAGAAAACATGGTCCTGCTGAAGACACTCAAGGCCTACATTGTAATTCTCCCACTGAGCTTTGCCATAAACCCCATGCTGCATCTTTTCCCACAATGGATACCTCCAAAACCACAGGGTCTGCTAACTCATGACCCAAGCAGCAGGGCTGATTGTACCCAGCCTGGACCTGCTGCAAATACATATCCTACACAGATCCTACTAAATGCTGGAAGATGTCTGGGTCACCCTGTATTTGGCTTAAAATATAACTGCTAAGTATGAAATGTGTTGCCCTAGAATTCAAAGAGGGCTAACAGATACTGTGCTTCTTTTTAGTGATTAAGGAGGCAATATGCAGCTAATTATCTTACACTTACATCCCAGCATGACCCTGACCACTGGACCCTTAAAAGTTCTACTTGAGTGGTAGTTTACTGAATCTTTGAAAGGTTTATCTTTCATGCTCTGGAATGCAAATTTCTTATCATGGACTCCACTGTGCTATCCACATCTTGCTCATCTCACTTTATCAACATGATGTCATCAGTGTAAATAGAGACCAGAAGCATCATGTTGGCTCCCTATCTGATGGCTATTTCTTTGGAATTGGAATGCATAAATGGGACTGATATACAGAGCAGCTGGAGTAACCACCACACCGGGTCCTTGGCCTTTTTTGGGGGAAGGCCTATAAACATTCCTGTGGAGTGTTTACAAGGTTCAAATCTCTTCCGACTACATTGTGACAGAGGAGGCCCTGGGACAAAGCTATTGTGTACATTTTTGCCAATTCCATGTGAATGCAAACAGTTTATGATACTCTTTTCTGATTGGGGTAAAAAAGAACACATTTGCCAAATCACTGTCTGCTTACCATGTACCTAAGCCTTTATTAACTATCTCTACCAATGATTCCGCACCCAACACAGCAGCAGCAATCAGGGCTAATACTTAGTTAAACTTATGGTAATCTATAATCTTTCTTGAGGATCTATCAGCATCTATCAGCATCTATGGATGAAAAACAAGAGAATTAAACAGATGAGGACCAACACTCCTGCATCCTTACGATCTTTAAAGGTGGTATTAATCTCTATCATATCTCTTGAGATGCCAGATGTAATCTTTTTGTTTAGCTATCTTGGTAGAAGGTAGAGGATGCCAAGGAATCCATGCAGTTTCAGAGGCCCCCACTTGGTCTTCTCCCCAAAAGTCCAAGGGCCAAATGTGGTGGTTACTCCAACTGCTCTGTATATCAATCCCACTTATACATTCCAATTCCAAAGAAACAGCCATCAGATAGGGAGCCAACGTGAGGCTTCTGGTCTCCAGCGATCTGTGCCAACCCAACTTCTGTGTCCGATATTCCTCAGAATGTCTAGTGCACAGTCCCCTAAGTAAAAGCCATGGGGCTCTCCGGGGAAAGATCAGAGGACTCATCACAGGAGACATTTGTTATGACTTCTTGTGATATTGCAAGATTCTTTCTTCAGGGGTAGGTTTGCCAAATTTAGCAAAAAAAAAATACAGGCCACTAAGATGAATTCACATTTCAGATAAATAGTTTTTAGCATAAGTATTTGAAGATAAGTATTTTTTCTTCACAGAATTGGAAAAAACTACTTTAAAGTTAATATGGAACCAAAAAAAGAGCCTTCATTGCCAAGTCAATCCTAAGCCAAAAGAACAAAGCTGGAGGCATCATTCTACCTGACTTCAAACTATACTACAAGGCTACAGTAACCAAAACAGCATGGTACTGGTACCAAAACAGAGATATAGACCAATGGAACAGAATAGAGGCCTCAGAAATAACACCACACATCTACAACCATCTGATCTTTGACAAACCTGAGAAAAACAAGCAATGGGGAAAGGATTCCCTATTTAATAAATGGTGCTGGGAAAACTGGCTAGCCATATGTAGAAAGCTGAAACTGGATCCCTTCCTTACACCTTATACAAAAGTTAATTCAAGATGGATTAAAGACTTAAACATCAGACCTAAAACCTTAAAAACCCTAGAAGAAAACCTAGGCAATACCATTCAGGACATAGGCACGGGCAAGGATGTCATGACTAAAACACCAAAAGCAATGGCAACAAAAGCCAAAATTGACAAATGGGATCTAATTAAACTAAAGAGCTTCTGCACAGCAAAAGAAACTACCATCAGAGTGAACAGGCAACCTACAGAATGGGAGAACATTTTTGCAATCTACTCATCTGACAAAGGGCTAATATCCAGAATCTACAAAGAACTCCAACAAATTTACAAGAAAAAAACAAACAACCCCATCAAAAAGTGTGTGAAGGACATGAACAGACACTTCTCAAAAGAAGACATTTATGCAGCCAACAGACACGTGAAAAAATGCTCATCATCACTGGCCGTCAGAGAAATGCAAATCAAAACCACAATGAGATACCATCTCACACCAGTTAGAATGGCGATCATTAAAAAGTCAGGAAACAACAGGTGCTGGAGAGGATGTGGAGAAATAGGAACACTTTTACACCGTTGGCGGGACTGTAAGCTAGTTCAACCATTGTGGAAGTCAGTGTGGTGATTCCTCGGGCATCTAGAACTAGAAATACCATTTGACCCAGCCATCCCATTACTGGATATATACCCAAAGGATTATAAATCATGTTGCTATAAAGACACATGCACATGTATGTTTATTGCGGCACTATTCACAATAGCAAAGACTTGGAACCAACCCAAATGTCCATCAATGATAGACTGGATTAAGAAAATGTGGCACATATACACCATGGAATACTATGCAGACATAAAAAAGGATGAGTTCATGTCCTTTGTAGGGACATGGATGAAGCTGGAAACCATCATTCTCAGCAAACTATCTCAAGGACTAAAAACCGAACTCCACATGTTCTCACTCATAGGTGGGAATTGAACAACAAGAACACTTGGACACAGGAAGGGGAACATCACACACCAGGGCCTGTTGTGGGGTTGCGGGAGGGGAGAGGGATAGCATTAGGAGATATACCTAATGTAAATGATGAGTTAATGGGTGCAGCACACCAACATGGCACATGTATACATATGTAACAAACCTGCATGTTTTGCCCATGTACACTAGAACTTAAAGTATAATAAAATATATATATATATAAAAGATAAGTATTTTATAAGTATACTATAAAATAGAACAAATACTAAAATATTATTCACTGTTTATCTTAAATTCACACTTAATTAGGCATCCTATATTTTAGTTGGCAAACTTATCCTGACCACCTCTTCAGTCAACAGATTCCAGGGCTATGAAATGGATGAAGTCCAGATTCTGAGAGAGATACCGTGACTTGTTTGTGGAGGTTAAGTAATGTCAGTCTGTCACTCATTGATTCTGCTTTCTTCTTCTTTTAACATGTTTAACTGCACCTTGATGGCTGCCTACGTAGTTTGCCCATGGAGACACCATGTTCTATTATCCATCTCTGCAATTCCCTCTTGATCAGTCTACTTTGAGGACTGCCTTTCCAAACTTGCTGACCATTACAGTAATCTGGCTTCTGTTAAGCACCACCAATCTCTATTGTTTTGTGACCCCATTATCCACATTTCAATTAAAAACCCAGCTCTATGCCTACTTTTCTACTGTCAATCCTGGTGGCCAGAGAAGAGTCACCACACATTTTTAAATGATGCTGGTTTCCCTCTCACCAGTGCATTCCTGATGGTGAACATGTCCCTTGGGCCCTCCAGTGAAATAAATATAATTCTCTGTTGAGTCTTCTGGTTTCACACTCAATATCCATGTCAGTATGCCTCCCTTCCAACAATTTTCAACACTCTCCTACACAGTATCAATTACAAAATCAGGTAATATGTACTCCATTACAAAATTGGGTGAGCAAGTCCATATATTTGCATTCCAAAGTTACTTAGAACACGTTATCAGTAGTTGGCACTGAATAGCAAAATTATAGGGAATCCTTCCTCTATGCTTTGCATATTTTCTAAGACCTTTTCTTCAGAATATGCAAAATAATTTTAAAAAACAAAAGCGATGACAAAATTAAGCAAATTGGAAAGGATACAGAATACCCTTGAGTAGCATGAAACATTTCTTCCTTTTATTAGTTTCTATGGTTATGCTGAGTTTTAGGTACTACATATACTGAAGCAGTTTGATGTGCATGAATACAATAGGTGTGCAAAAAGATGATCTCTAGGGTCATTTTTGTGGTGCTATTGTACAGGAACTAAAGAAAAAAAACGAATGAACAAAAAGAAGAAAAGAAAGAAGGGAAAGAGAAAGAAAGAGAGAAGAGAAAGAGAGAAGAAGAAAGAAAAAGAAAGAGAGAGAGAAAGAGAGAGAGAAAGAGGAAGGAAGGAAGGGAGGGAGGGAGGGGAGGGGAGTGGGGGCCTTCCAATTTGCAATAGTATTTTAAAAACTACAGACAAACTATAGTTATCAGAAATTTCAATCCATTTTTATTATCTGGAGTTATATCATGCTTTCTCCCATTCTAATAGGATTAAATTGATTTAGACTATACAAGTAGAAAGTAGGTAGAGTTTTTTATTTTATGCAATATGAATAAATACCCTATTGTTGATCTTTCAAGCTGTAACTTCATTATTTGAAAATGTACTGGAATGCACACTTATTGTCTAAGTTTTTCTAAAAACACTGCATTTTAATAGGTACATAAAAATGGAGTCATAAGAGATTACCTCACACCCACCTCCCACACTAAATATTAGCAAAAGCTCTTTTTCTTCCAGCTGCTTGCCTTTATTTTACAGTGTGTCTAATCTATTAGAAAATTACACTAAGAGAACCAGAAAAATGACGAGAGAGGCTGAACCAGAGTCTGATGTAACTGCTAGGTTCTCTTTGTTTCTCCTGGGTCATTCTTCCTAGCAATTTGTAACCAAGGTCTTAAACAGCCAGATCATATCACATCGACCCTCACTACATAATGGCATTTATAATCACAGCTGGCAGCAAAAGGTAAATAATTATAGTAGTATTACATAAAATATTATTTCTTCCTTCCTCATTCTGCTTTTCAGAAGCCCGAATTGGTGATATCATTTAGTCAATTCTACCCAAAATAAAAGTATCTCAGAACCTTCCCTCTTTGTTCCATCCCCATCATTCCCATTGCTGCAGTGTAAGATTTTGGAGTTGGACAGTCTGGGATTCAAGTTTTAATTCTCATGTTTGACTTCTGACAAGTTACTTCACCTCTTTGAGCCTAGATTTTTATCATCTGTAAATTGAGACTATATGCCATGTGGCATTTTTATAACGATAAAAGATAATGTATAATAATCACTTCCCATTATATTCAGTACATAGTAGGTACTCAATGAAATGGGGGCTAACTTGTTGTATTAGTTTTGTTCTCACGCTGCTATGAAGAAATACCTGAGACTGAGTAATTTATAAAGGGAAGAGATTTAATTGACTCACAGTTCTGCAGGGCTGGGAAGGCCTCAGGAAACTTACAATCATGGCAGAAGGGAAAGCAAGCACATCCTTCTTTCACATGGCGACAGCAAGGAGAAGTGTAGAGTGAAGGGAGGGAAAGCCCCTTAAAAAACCATCAGATGTTGTGAGAACTCACTCTCTATCACAAGAACGGCATGAAGGCAACCACCCCTATGATTCAATTACCTCCCACCGGGTCCCTCCCACAACATGTGGGGATTATGGGAACTGCAATTCAAGATGAGATTTGGTAGGGACACAGCCAAACCATATAAATTGTATCTCATACTTTGGTGTGTAATCTGATCTTGATTATTATGACATCCTCCTAATAGAACCCTCTGCCTTCTGTCTCTTCTCACTTCAGTTCATCCTGTTGTTACGAAAGTTTCTATATTTTAAAAAATTAAAATTAAGAAAAGAATTATGCCACCTTCTTATTGACAAATTTAGTCATGATGGTTACAAGATCAACTCTTAAATCTCTATCACCCCATCAAATGCCTTCATGGCTTCATTCTCATTTCTTTCCATTCCTGCCATTCATCAAGCCAATGGCAACATTTGAATATCCACTATATGCAAGATATAGTGAATATGGTGGCATAGAAGACCCACATTGTCCATGTTTATGAAGCATATGTAACAAGCTGCAGCCAAAATCAAGTGATAACTCTTCCCCAGACAGAATATTTATTCCACATATCAGATGATAAATATTCATGACTTCAAGTATCAATAGGGATACAACAGAGACCAAGGTGAGAACAGGAATAATCAAATCTTATCAAGGGAGACTTCAGAGTAAAGGAAGACATATAAAAATGGAAAATTCGGCTTCTGGTTTTAATTTTAACACTAATGGAAGAGAAAAGTGCTACAGGAGCCTATGCAGGCGTCCACAGGTGGATGAGAGTTCAAATCTATTTGAGATGATTATCAAAAAGACTTCTTAGACAAATTGACTAGTGTCAGGCCTTAAAGGCAGATAGAATTTCTACAACTAGAGGAGGTGGATGGTCCTTCTAACCAGTGGAAAGAGCATCAAACCAGGATAAACAACTTGCCAGCCAACGTTAATGTTATTATCAGAGAAACTAACTGCTCAAGTGCAATCTTCAGGACTGCTAAACTAAAGAATTCTAGCTGTCTTAAAGCAGTCACTCTCAAACTTTAGTGTGTGTCAGCATCAACTGGAGAGGTAATGAAGCCAACAATGGCCAGGCACATTGAAGTTGACTGAGGTGTGACCCCACTTTTTACCGATTTTCACAAGTGATTCTGATACACACAAAATTTTGAGAACCACTGACTTAAAAGAGCTAAGCAGCATCATCACCTTGGGAGGTAGTTAGAAACACAGGATCTCAGAACCTGCCCCAATCCTACTGAATGAAAATCCGTACGTGAACAAGATTTTCAGGTGGTGTATATGGACCTACACCTTTAAAAAGAACTGATCTAAACCAGTAGTTCTTAACCCTAGATTCAGATTAGAATCACACTGGGAGCTTTAAAAATTATCAATACCTAGATCAAACCCTCAGATTCTTATTTCATTGAAATGAGTGTGGCCTGTACCTGGGAGTTTTAAAAGCTTCCCAGATGATTCTAATAGACAGTAAAACATGCAAATCTCTACTCTAAGGTATTTCCATCTATTTCTGGATTTTATTTTGTAAGTTAACCAAACTAAGATGAGCTCCTTGGTAGTCTTTAATTAGTCCCACACGTGAAAAACAAACCCAACTAAATTTCAGTAAAATTACAGAATATTTGAAGAAATTAATCTTTTCACTAACTTCATTTTGTATACATGTATACAAGCTTAATTTATGATATATGTTATAGAACGAAACAATATAATTTAATAACATATATATTAGTGCTTTAAGTTAGAGAAGTGTTCAGATCCAAACATTAGCAGCTAGTTGCAAAAGTGTCTACGATTTTTTAATTAGTTGGGGAAAGCACCTGATTTTAGAAGGACTTTCCTAATGAATAAAGACCAGACATTTAAGTGCAGGTATTTTGAACCTTTGAAATAAACAATATTTGCATATAGCCATTCTCAAACTTTAGTGTGTGTCAGCATCAACTGGAGAGGTAAGAAAGCCAACAACGGCCCAGGTGCACTGAGGTCAACTAAGAAGAACTGATCTAAACCAGTGACTTTTAACCCTAGCTTCAGATTAAAAATCACACTAGGAGCTTTAAAAATTACCAATACCATCTGTGCAGCAAACCACCATGCCACACGTTTACCTATGTAACAAATCTGCACATCCTGCACATGTATCCCTGAACTTAACATTAAAATTGAAGAAAAAAAATTGCCAATACCTAGATTGAACCCTCAGATTCTTATTTAATTGAAATGGCCTGAACATGGGAGAATTTATGAATTCTCATAAATTCAGAATCAATATATATAATTGAGTTTGATTTTATTATTAAAGATGTATTCTAATGTTACTATATATTTTTAAAGTCATGAAATGAATGAAGTTTATGGCTTTTAAGTGGACATAAAAAGAAAATTCTTCATCTAGAAAAATCATATGCGTAAAACTGAATTTAATCTATGGATTTAATATTATTTTCATCGTCTATAAATGTAATTTTTTATTACCAGTAATATTTAGGATTATATTGCCACCTGCTGGTGGACATTTTGAGAATTTCATGTAACTATGTCATACTTTGTTTTAAACTTAACTCTTTGCTATTGTTTTCAATAAATATGTTTCACTTTAAAATTTAAAACCTTAGAAAAACATTGAACCATCATACAAATCTGGAACATAGGTAAGGCATATCATAAAATATGCTTTGGGGAAATACACAAACAGGATTGTGAGGAGCGCTCATTTACATGCAGAGTTTGGCCCACTGTCATCCTCAGGTCTAAGGATATAGGACACTTAGCCACATCACTAAAGCTAAGGTTGTCAGGAACCAGAGTAGAGATTATTCTTTAACAAAGGCATTGAAGTAGAGAAAGCAGATGAGCTTCTGTTTTGCCACGACTCATATTTAAGTGAGCATTTCACTTTTAAAAGTACAATGCTCACTTAAATACAACTGGTGTCAAAACAGAAAGGCAGGGAGAAGCAAAATCATATGTATTCATGTACCTAGATACACATATACATAGATACATTAGGAGGAAGATTAGGACTTGTATAGAAAAATGTAGATCATTATTCTACCACTCTGGCTGTGGTTGTACTTCTGTTCCCATGGAAGCAATATGCAGAACCTATGGAAGAGACCAACATGTGTTTCACCTTTCAAAAAGGTTGGACAACTCTCTCACCTTCCAAAAAGTAGGACAACATGTAACAAGGCACTTAAGCATTGCTACTGATACAGAGACACTCAAATAGACTACATCACCTACTGAATGTCACCAGTATTACTTTATAATTTATTGACCTTAGAAATGACACATGGGCAGCTGCTGGTGTTTATGGCCAGTTTTTAAGTATATGTTCAACAACAAAATTCACAAATGTTGATTGATATAAATATGGATAGCTAATATTCCTAGGTATTACCATAAATTAGATGAAGAGAAAGCCTCAAATAGGCTGTGAGCTAAGAATTCCATTATTTCACAAATTGTGGGTTTTTGTTTTTATGTCTGTTGTGACTATTGTTAGTCCTGTGTTGGGAACCTACATGTGTACTATAAGTAACGTTATAAAGTAGGAAAGTAACTCAACTGCAGAAAGTGAACATGTTTACATTCCAGATGTTCCCATATGGGAATCTGTAGATTACGGTATCATGGAAGGAGTTAAGAGTGCCAGTTGGTCAATATCTTGCCACGGAGCCTGATGCAGGTCACTTCATTTCTATGTTTTCTCATCTGTAAAATGAAGGGGTTGTCCAGACTAAGGAAGATAACTATGTTTTGTGATGTGATGGTTAATTTTATATGTCAACATGGCTAGGCCATGGTACCTAGTTATTTAGTCAATCATTATTCTAGAAATTTGTGTAAAGGTATACCTTAAATGAGATTAATATTGAAATCAATAGACTGAGTAAAAGAGATTACCCTCTATAATGTGGGCAGGTCTCATCCAATCAGTTGAAGGCCTTCATAGAAAATATGTGTAATCTAAAAAAGTTGATCTCATAGAATTAGAGAGTAGAGTTGTGGTTAACAGGCTGGGGTGGTTGTTGGGGAAGGAGAATTGGGGCAATATTGGTCAAAGGATACATTATTAATTATAGTTAGATAGGAGGAATAAGTTCAAGAGCATTGCACAGCATGGTAACTATAGTTAATGACAACATATACAGTTCTTGAAAAATGCAAAGAGAGTGAATGTTAGGTGTTCTCACCACAAAAATGGTAACTATGTAAGGTAATATATTTGTTAATTTGCTAGATTTAACCACTCCACAATTTATATATACTTCAAAATTTCATGTTGTACATGATGAATACATATAATTTATCTGTCCAGTTAAAATATATATGTAGGCTAGGCGCGGTGGCTCCTGCCTGTAATTCCAGCACTTTGGGAGGCCGAGGCAGGCGGATCATGAGGTCAGATGTTCGAGACCAGCCTGACCAACATGGTGAAACCCCGTCTCTAACAAAAATACAAAAATTAGCCAGACGTGGTGGCGGGCACCTGTAATCCCAGCTACTCAGGAGGCTGAGGCAGGAGAATTTATTGAACCCGGGAGGCGGAGGTTGCAGTGAGCCGAGATCCCACAACTGCACTCCAGCCTCGGCAACAGAGCAAGACTCCATCTCAAAAATAAATAAAATATATATGTATATATTATAAAAAGAAAAAGACTTATCTCCCCCAGAAAAAGGGAATTCTGCCAGCAGACTGCTTTTGGACTCAAACTCCAGCATTAACTGTCCCCTAAATTTCCACGCTGTAGATTTTGGACTTGCCAGCCTCCAAAAGCACACAAGCCAATTCCTTAAAAATCTCTGTCTCTCATAAAAAAAGGGTGGAGGGGCAAATGGGCATTATGTATTTCAATGTATTATATATTTAGTATGTTATGTATTATTATGTATTTTAATCTCCTACCAGTTGTGTTTCTCTGTGGAACCATGGTGAATACATGGTAACAGATTAATATTAGCTAAAATTATAAACAATGTCCATTTGTAGGTTAAATTGAGGCATATTATTCCCTAATGCTTTCTCCTCATTGAGGCATATTACTCCCTAATGCTTTCTCCTCATTAAGGTAACTGATAAGTCCAAATTAGCACTCAGAAAAAGAGACTGATGGCTTCGAAGATTAAGATATTCTAGATACTTGACACTATGATGAGATTATTTTGCTACATAATGTACATTTTCCCCACCCCCTTTTTTAAGCCGATCATTCAACTATTACTGCCTTATGCTAAAAGACAATGCATATGGATCCTCCCTGGAAAATGACACATGGCCTCTTCAGGCCTGCTCCCTACCTCTTCTACTGTCTGATCAAGGGGCCCACCAGATATTGGACTTTCTTCCTTGTGGTAGAAGGTGGAAGCTGCAATAATTTATCTTTTACTTTGGAGGGAATGTCCCAGAATACCATTGACCACTGGACTCCTAAAACTTCATGAATGTGACAAGTCCCTGAATCCTCATAGGGTTTATCTCCCAGCCTCTGAGGTGTGTGTGTCTTATAAAGGCCTCCTGTATGCTACCCACCTCTTGTTCATTCCACCTAATTGTCTTAGTTTAGGCTGCTGTAACAAATTACTACAAACTGGGTGGCTTATAAACAGAAACTTATTTCTTACAATTCTGGAGGCGAGAAGTGCAAAATCAGGGTGCCAGCATGATCCAGTTCTGGTGAGGGCCCTCTTTACAGTTACAGACAGCCATCTTTTCAGTGTCCCCAAATGGTAAAAGAATCAAGCTCTCAGGGTCTCTTTTATAAGAGTACTAATCCCATCCATGAGGTATTTGCCTTCATGATCTCATCACTTGCCAAAGCCCCCACTTGCTAATACCATCACATTAAGGGTCGGGATTTCAATATATGAATTTGGTGGGACACAAACCTTCAGTCTGCAGCACTGATCAACATAACTGTCATCAACATGATACTTTAGCACATGATTTTTCCAGGATGTCTAGATGATCCAGATCTCTTTGGACTATGAGAAGACTGAGGGAGAAAAAGTTAACATAGCCTGGAGAAAACCATAAATCTGTATTTTTGTCTACTCAGTGATAACTGTTTCTGATCCTCTTTTCTCATTGGGATAGCAGCCATATTAATCTAGCCTAGCATAAATACCATACCTGACATGACAGCTGCAACTGGGGCTAGTACGTGGTCAAGCTTGTAGTAGTTAGTTATAGTTACCCTCCCAGATCCATATGGTTTCTGCAGAGGCCAGAGTGGTAAATTGAAAAGATCTATGATATGGCTACCACTTCTACATCCTTTAGATCTTCAACAGTGACATTCATCTCCACTATTCCCTGTCCCCTTGTAATATGTGATTTTGCTTTTCATTTACCATCATGGCTGGTATTGCATAGGGTGATTTCAGGTGCTTCCTCTTGACCTTTCCACAATAATAGCTTTCCCCAACAGGCTGTGAATCCAAGGAGGGTGTTCTACCAACCACCAAGTATGGCAAAACCAATTATACATTTGAGGACTGGAAAATGACCACTGGGAGGAACTAGCGAGCCAAGATGCCCGAATAGGAACAGCTCCGGTCTACAGCTCTCAGCATGAGCGACGCAGAAGACGGGTGATTTCTGCATTTCCATCTGAGGTACCGGGTTCATCTCACTAGGGAGTGCCAGACAGTGGGCGCAGGACAGTGGGTGCAGCACACCGTGCGCGAGCTGAAGCAGGGCAAGGCATTACCTCACTCGAGAAGCACAAGGGGTCAGGGAGTTCCCGTTCCTAGTCAAAGAAAGGGGTGACAGACTGCACCTGGAAAATCGGGTCACTTCCACGCTAATACTGCGCTTTTCCGACGGGCTTAAAAAATGGCACACCAGGAGGTTATATCCCACACCTGGCTCAGGGGGTCCTACGCCCACGGAGTCTCGCTGATTGCTAGCACAGCAGTCTGAGATCAAACTGCAAGGTGGCACTGAGACTGGGGGAGGGGTGCCCGCCATTGCCCAGGATTAATTAGGTAAACAAAGCAGCCAGGAAGCTCGAACTGGGTGGAGCCCACCACAGCTCAAGCAGGCCTGCCTGCCTCTGTAGGCTCCACCTCTTGGGGGCAGGGCACAGACAAACAAAAAGACAGCAGTAACCTCTGCAGACTTAAATGTCCCTGCCTGACAACTTTGAAGAGAGCAGTGGTTCTCCCAGCACGCAGGTGGAGATCTGAGAACAGGCAGACTGCCTCCTCAAGTGGGTCCCTGACCCCTGACCCCCGAGCAGCCTAACTGGGAGGCACCCCTAGTAGGGGCAGACTGATACCTCACACGGCCGGGTACTCCTCTGAGACAAAACTTCCAGAGGAACGATCAGACAGCAGCATTTGCGGTTCACGAAAATCCGCTGTTCTGCAGCCACTGCTGCTGATACCAAGGCAAACAGGGTCTGGAGTGGACCTCTAGCAAACTCCGACAGACCTGCAGCTGAGGGTCCTGTCTGTTAGAAGGAAAACTAACAAACAGAAAGGACATCCACACCAAAAACCCATCTGTACATCACCATCATCAAAGACCAAAAGTAGATAAAACCACAAAGATGGGGAAAAAACAGAGCAGAAAAACTGAAAACTCTAAAAAGCAGAGTACCTCTCCTCCTCCAAAGGAATACAGTTCCTCACCAGCAATGGAACAAAGCTGGACGGAGAATGACTTTGACAAGTTGAGAGAAGAAGGCTTCAGATGATCAGACTACTCTGAGCTACAGGAGGAAATTCAAACCAAAGGCAAAGAAGTTAAAAACTTTGAAAAACATTTAGACGAATGTATAACTAGGATAACCAATACAGAGAAGTGCTTAAAGGAGCTGATGGAGCTGAAAGCCAAGGCTCGAGAACTATGTGAATAATGCAGAAGCCTCAGGAGCCGATGCGATCAAGTGGAAGAAAGGGTATCAGTGATGAAAGTTGAAATGAATGAAATGAAGTGAGAAGGGAAGTTTAGAGAAAAAAGAATAAAAAGAAACGAATAAAGCCTCCAAGTAGTATGGGACTATGTGAAAAGACCAAATCTACGTCTGATTGGTGTACCTGAAAATGACGGGGAGAATGGAACCAAGTTGGAAAACACTCTGCAAGATATTATCCAGGAGAACTCCCCCAATCTAGCAAGGCAGGCCAACATCCAGATTCAGGAAATATAGAGAACGCCACAAAGATACTCCTCAAGAAGAGCAACTCCAAGACACATAATTGTCAGATTCACCAAAGTTGAAATGAAGGAAAAAATGTTAAGGGCAGCCAGAGAGAAAGGTCGGGTTACCCACAAAGGGAAGCACATCAGACTAACAGGGGATCTCTCAGCAGAAACTCTACAAGCCAGAAGAGAGTAGGGGCCAATATTCAACATTCTTAAAGAAAAGAATTTTCAACCCAGAATTTCATATCCAGCCAAACTAAGCTTCATAAGTGAAGGAGAAATAAAATACTTTACAGACAAGCAAATGCTAAGAGATTTTGTCACCACCAGGCCTGCCCTAAAAAAGGTCCTGAAGGAAGCACTAAACATGGAAAGGAACAACCAGTACCAGCCACTGCAAAATCATGCCAAATTGTAAAGACTATCGAGGCTAGGAAGAAACTGCATCAACTAACGAGCAAAATAACCAGCTAACATCATAATGACAGGATCAAATTCACAAGTAAAAATATTAACTTTAAATGTAAATGGACTAAATGCTCCAATTAAAAGACACAGACTGGCAAATTGAATAAAGAGTCAAGACCCATCACTGTGCTGTATTCAGGAAACCCATCTGACGTGCAGAGACACACATAGGCTCAAAATAAAAGGATGGAGGAAGATCTACCAAGCAAATGGAAAACAAAAAAAGGCAGGGGTTGCAATCCTAGTCTCTGATAAAACAGACTTTAAACCAACAAAGATCAAAAGAGACAAAGAAGGCCATTACATAATGGTAAAGGGATCAATTCAACAAGAAGAGCTAACTATCCTACATATATATGCACCCAGTACAGGAGCAGCCAGATTCATAAAGCAAGTCCTGAGTGACCTACAAAGACACTTAGACTCCCACACAATAATAATGGGAGATTTTAACACCCCACTGTCAATATTACACAGATCAACGAGACAGAAAGTTCACAAGGATATCCAGGAATTGAACTCAGCTCTGCACCAAGCGGACCTAATAGACATCTACAGAACTCTTCACCCCAAATCAACAGAATATACATTTTTTTCAGCACCACACCACACCTATTCCAAAATTGACCACATAGTTGGAAGTAAAGCTC
This sequence comes from Homo sapiens, assembly GCF_000001405.40. Taxonomy (NCBI): domain Eukaryota; kingdom Metazoa; phylum Chordata; class Mammalia; order Primates; family Hominidae; genus Homo; species Homo sapiens. Next base: position 101,855,236 of record NC_000011.10, read on the forward strand.
TCCTCAGCAAATGTAAAAGAACAGAAATTATAACAAACTGTCTCTCAGACGACAGTGAAATCAAACTAGAACTCAGGATTAAGAAACTCACTCAAAACTGCTCAACTACATGGAAACTGAACAACCTGCTCCTGAATGACTAATGGCTACATAAGGAAATGAAGGCAGAAATAAAGATGTTCTTTGATACCAACAAGAACAAAGACACAACATACCAGAATCTCTGGGACACATTCAAAGCAGTGTGTAGAGGGAAATTTATAGCACTAAATGCCCACAAGAGAAAGCAGGAAGGATCCAAAATTAACACCCTAACATCACAATTAAAAGAACTAGAAAAGCAAGAGCAAACACATTCAAAAGCTAGCAGAAGGCAAGAAATAACTAAGATCAGAGCAGAACTGAAGGAAATAGAGACACAAAAAACCCTTCAAAAAAATCAATGAATCCAGGAGCTGGTTTTTTGAAAGGATCAACAAAATTGATATACCACTAGCAAGACTAATAAAGAAGAAAAGAGAGAAGAATCAAATAGACGCAATAAAAAATGATAAAGGGGATATCACCACCAATCCCACAGAAATACAAACTACCATCAGAGAATACTACGAACACCTCTACACAAATAAACTAGAAAATCTAGAAGAAATGGATAAATTCCTCAACACATACACCCTCCCAAGACTAAACAAGGAAGAAGTTGAATCTCTGAATAGACCAATAACAGGATCTGAAATTGTGGCAATAATCAATAGCTTACCAACCAAAAAGAGTCCAGGACCAGATGGATTCACAGCTGAATTCTACCAGAGGTACAAGGAGGAACTGGTACCATTCCTTCTGAAACTATTTCAATCAATAGAAAAAGAGGGAATCCTCCCTAACTCATTTTATGAGGCCAGCATCATCCTGATACCAAAGCCAGGCAGAGACACAACCAAAAAAGAGAATTTTAGACCAATATCCTTGATGAATATTGATGCAAAAATCCTCAATAAAATACTGGCAAACAGAATCCAGCAGCACATCAAAAAGCTTATCCACCATGATCAAGTGGGCTTCATCCCTGGGATGCAAAGCTGGTTCAATATACGCAAATCAATAAACGTAACCCAGCATATAAACAGAACCAAAGACCAAAACCACATGATTATCTCAATAGATGCAGAAAAGGCCTTGACAAAATTCAACAACGCTTCATGCTAAAAACTCTCAATAAATTAGGTATTGATGGGACGTATCTCAAAATAATAAGAGCTATCTATGACAAACCCACAGCCAATATCATACTGAATGGGCAAAAACTGGAAGCATTCCCTTTGAAAACTGGCACAAGACAGGGATGCCCTCTCTCACCACTCCTATTCAACATAGTGTTGGAAGTTCTGGCCAGGGCAATTAGGCAGGAGAAGGAAATAAAGGGTATTCAATTAGGAAAAGAGGAAGTCAAATTGTCCCTGTTTGAAGATGACATGATTGGATATCTAGAAAACCCCACTGTCTCAGCCCAAAATCTCCTTAAGCTGATAAGCAACTTCAGCAAAGTCTCAGGATACAAAATCAATGTACAAAAATCACAAGCATTCTTATACATCAATAACAGACAAACAGAGAGCCAAATCATGAGTGAACTCCCATTCACAATTGCTTCAAAGAGAATAAAATACCTAGGAATCCATCTTAAAAGGGACGTGAAGGACCTCTTCAAGGAGAACTAAAAACCACTGCTCAATGAAATAAAAGAGGATACAAACAAATGGAAGAACATTCCATGCTCATGGGTAGGAAGAATCAATATTGTGAAAATGGCCATACTGCCCAAGGTAATTTATAGATTCAATGCCATCCCCATCAAGCTACCAATGACTTTCTTCACAGAATTGGAAAAAACTACTTTAAAGTTCATATGGAACCAAAAAAGAGCCAGCATCGCCAAGTCAATCCTAAGCCAAAAGAACAAAGCTGGAGGCATCATACTACCTGACTTCAAACTATACTACAAGTCTACAGTAACCAAAACAGCATGGTACTGGTACCAAAACAGAGATATAGATCAATGGAACAGAACAGAGCCCTCAGAAATAACGCCACTTATCTACAACTATCTGATCTTTGACAAACCTGAGAAAAACAAGCAATGGGGAAAGGATTCCCCATTGAATAAATGGTGCTGAGAAAACTGGCTAGCCATATGTAGAAAGCTGAAACTGGATCCCTTCCTTACACCTTATACAAAAATTAATTCAAGATGGATTAAAGACTTAAACGTTAGACCTAAAACCATAAAAACCCTAGAAGAATACCTAGGCATTACCATTCAGGACATAGGCATGGGCAAGGACTTCATGTCTAAAACACCAAAAGCAATGGCAACAAAAGCCAAAATTGACAAATGGGATCTAATTAAACTAAAGAGATTCTGCACAGCAAAAGAAACTACCATCACAGTGAACAGGCAACCTACAAAATGGGAGAAAATTTTTGCAACCTACTCATCTGACAAAGGGCTAATATCCAGAATCTACAATGAACTCAAACAAATTTACAAGAAAAAAGCAAACAACCCCATCAAAAACTGTGTGAAGGACATGAACAGACACTTCTCAAAAGAAGACATTTATGCAGCCAAAAGACACATGAAAAAATGCTCACCATCATTGGCCATCAGAGAAATGCAAATCAAAACCACAATGAGATACCATCTCACACCAGTTAGAATGGCGATCATTAAACAGTCAGGAAACAACAGGTGCTGGAGAGGATGTGGAGAAATAGGAACATTTTTACACTGTTGGTGGGACTGTAAACTAGTTCAAGCATTGTGGAAGTCAGTGTGGCGATTCCTCAGGGATCTAGAACTAGAAATACCATTTGACCCAGCCATCCCATTACTGGGTATATACCCAAAGGACTATAAATCATGCTGCTATAAAGACACATGCACAGGTATGTTTATTGCAGCTCTATTCACAATAGCAAAGACTTGGAACCAACCCAAATGTCCATCAATGATAGACTGCATTAAGAAAATGTGGCACATATACACCATGGAATACTATGCAGCCATAAAAAATGATGAGTTCATGTCCTTTGTAGGGACATGGATGAAATTGGAAATCATCATTCTCAGTAAACTATCACAAGAACAAAAAACCAAACACCGCATATTCTCACTCATAGGTGGGAACTGAACAATGAGAACACATGGACACAGGAAGGGGAACATCACACTCTGGGGACTGTTGTGGGGTGGGGGGCGGGGGGAGGGATAGCATTAGGAGACATACCTAATGCTGTACAGCACACCAGCATGGAACATGTATACATATGTAACTAACCTGCACATTGTGCACATGTACCCTAAAACTTAAAGTATAATAATAATAATAAAAAAGAAAAAAGAAAATGACCACTGAGTTTGTCCATGAAGCAAATGGATCTGCTGTAAACTGGGCCTTGTCCAGGACTCAATTTGTTACCTGGCATCCCTTTTCCATGAAAATGCTTTGGTTCTCTGGGTATTAATGTCATGTCAGACTCCGTGTTCAAGAGTCCTCCACCTATTTGTGTATTCTGCTTTCCCCACTATACAGTTAGCTGAAATAGCCATAGGGGATCATTACCACATACATTTTCCATGCTGCTATAGAGTCCCTTCCTGAGAACTCAGTTACCTTTCAATGTATTCTGAGATCTGACCTGACTCAGGTTTGGATATTGGGCAAGAGATTGTGACTTTTTTTAAACTGGGAACAACCATTCTCAGCTTCCAGATCTTCTGCCCTTGATTTGATTTGTCCTTGATTTGGTTGCTTAAGTACTTTCCTTGTTGGCCACCATGTTTTATTGATCTTTATAACTTTCTGTGAAGAAAGGCGGACTGCCATCCCATTCTTACAAGTCATTATGATAATGACAATGCTCTAGCTTCTGATGAGTAAGTGCTAGGATCTGGCCTCTATTTTATTCAAGGTCCTATCATTCCTATTGCTATCAGAAAGCCAAGTTCTATGACTGCCTCTCCTACAGAGGAGAATCATTACTGAACATTTTAGTGATTCCAGTGCCCTTCTCAAGGTGTTTTTTTTTTTTTTCATAAGACCTTTGTAAATGGTGTGGGCTCTGGGCCTTCCCATAGAATGTAATTATCAAGTGTGTCTTCCAGCCATATGTAGTGGATTCAGGACATCAATCCTATGTCGTTGAGCCTTTCAATCCCTCCCTCTACTGTCTACCACAATAATTATGGCATTTCAATTTCACTCAGCCTGAGCCATTCTATTTTTCATGCTTCTAGAACTCATTCTAGTAGCAGGATTGTCCTATCTCCTAGTATCCTTGCCAGTGTCCTAAATCCTTTATCTCAGGAGATTACTACCAAATCAAACTCTTTATTAATTAACTATATATATTAGAGTGATGATCTAGCATGCTGAGAAGCCAGTCCCAATCATACTCCCCCAGCTCCTGCTGTATACTTCTGCAGGTCTTTGGAGTAGAGTTCCATTCCTCCTTCCTCAGGTGTAGCACCTTTCAGGCCCATCACCTCTCAAATTGGATTATGCTGTCACTTGGCCATAATTATAGGGCTAGTAGCCAGGAGAGAGTAGGTCCTGAGACAGGCATGTGTCACTCACTTTGCAGAAGAGATTCCTATGCATTATCTTTCAGCCCAAAGAGGTATTTGCTGTTAATAGGAAGAGTTGAGGGCCATTTCTGAATGCTAAGAAAGTTCAGGAGAGTCTGGGAAGCCAAACTTTGGGATGCAGCCACCCAGATGTCCTCATCCTACGTGTCAGGGCCCCAGATTATCCTAATCAGAGCCCCAAATTTGATGTAACAGATCTGTTTTGTGGGACATTTAACTATATTTGACATTCTATCATTTCAACTCTTAAATGGGCTTGGTCCTCATTTTTATATGTCTCCCTGGTGCAGGAGATAAAAAGTTTTTTTGTATACAAAGAACCCCTCTTGCTTACTTTCCTAATTTTTAATTGCCTGCTCGTTATCTTTCTGTGGCACAGAAGCTCTTAAGGACATCCATCCAATTTATTCTTTCTTATAGTTTCTCTTTCCTCTGTGTGTCCCAAATACTTGAAATATTGTACCCACCAATGCTTTCTCTACCCATGGTAGACACTAGACCAACACAATATATCACCAGTGAAAGCTGTATCTGCTCCTCCCACCAATAGTGATAGGGTCCTCAGTTCCAGCTGAGCGGTAAGTAATCCAGCTCCAAAACCCTATCATATCACCTACTTTTTCAGTCCATACCACCTCTGGTACCAATTGCTACAGGTTGAGTTCTCCAGAAGCTACTCTGAGACCAAATCAGGGTGCAGGATTTTTTTTTTTTTTTTTTTTGGAATTAATATTAATCCAACAAGAAGGGGGAGGAAGCAGACTTGAGCAGAAGAAGTCAAACTACAATGCAACAATCTCCTAACCAAACAGAAGGAACGCTCAACAGTCAGTTACACACCACAGTTGTCCTGCTTCAGGCTTCAATGGCCAGGCTTTTTAACCCTACGCTACTTAATTACTGGGTATGGGTTTCCCCAGCAAGAGGGTGTCATTGGACGAGGAATCTTTCTACCAGGGAGGCTGACCTTAAAGGAGCTGACAGCCAGAAGTGCTCTGCACTCCCCACAGCCAGGCTCCACTTACATGAAGTGAGCTGGGTGGCACATCTCTATATCTACCACTTGGTGGCAGTAGTGAAAGGACTGAGATGAGGTTATAAAATGAAAATTCATCTGCCAAAACGATTGCAGGATATTGCTATTTGGAATCAGCAAAATATGAGGAAGATGTACCGGACTCGATTGGAAAATGTGAGGCTGCTAGACCGAGCAAGTACTAAATTTTAGCTCGAGCTTTATTTAGTAATATGGGTATAATTACCAGATTATGGATTCAACTATAAAAGCTGAAGCAGCTGGAAGTTGCTTTTGTGTTTCTCATCTAATTTGATAAAAACTTGAACTCAAAGGTGGTCCAAGCTAGATTTTGGCCTCTATACTGTAAACAAAGAATTTCTGTCAACTAAGTACTTCACGAGATAGAAATTCTAGTATGTATTTACCACATAGCAACCAGATAATCACCACCAACCTTCAACTATATCCTATTAAAGGATGCAGAAGGCACACTCTCCCCATCAAGACATAGGAGAGGAGTGTGCCAACAGCTATGAAGTGCTAGAGTAGTTGTTCTCTATATAGCACAATGCTGGTGAAAAATGCTAAAGATTAAATGGCCTCCCTCAATTCAATAGTGTATTAGGTCATTCTCACAATGCTATAAAGAAGTGCCTGAGACTAGGTAATTTATAAAGAAAAAGGGTTTAATCAGCTCAGCTCTGCAAGCTATACAGGAAGCATGATACTGTCATCTCCTCAGCTTCTGAGGAGGCCTCAGGAAACTTACAATCATGGCAGAAGTCTCTCACTTATGAGTGAGAATATACGATGTTTGGTTTTCCATTTCTGAATTACTTCACTTAAAATAATAGTCTCCAACCCCATCCAGGTTGCAGCAAATGCCATTAATTCATTCCTTTTAGTGGCTGAGTAGTATTCCATTGAGTAATTAATAGAGGGAAAATTAAGCTGCAACATGGATTTGCTTTCATGTTAAGAAAGCTACTGCATTTCATCAGCATCTTTTGTCTCAGCAAATTCAACTCCAGCCTGGGTGACAAAACAAGACCCTGTCTCATAAGAAAAAGAAACCCAAGCTTATCTAAGCTAGATGGGGCATTTATTTTAGCAATACTGTCCATGAACTCTGAAGAGAGACACCAATGATCTCATGATGACTGGAATTCCTTCTGCCACCTTCAAGCAGAAAATTGAAAACTACAGTCTATGCACACACATGCACCCTAAGGGTCAGGCTTTGTCAGCGAGGTCCTATCAAAGAGGATGGGGGCATTGCCAGGAGATACCCCTAATAAATCCATCCCCTAATACGTCCAGCCCTTAATGATGTCCTGGGATGGACTCTCCTTCACAGGCTCATACTTCAGTGTTTGTAAATATGTCATCATAACCCCACTCCAACTGGTAAAATAACTTCCCCACAGCAAATAAAGACACAGCCTAGACAAGTATTAGAAGCAACTCCGTTAGCACAAAGAAAACTTCTCACCAATCTCAAATTTTTCTGTAACTCTACATTCAAGATGCATTTTTACTGCAAAAACAAGTTCCTAAGAAGAACACAGGAATGAGGAAGGATACAAGACAAGCCAGGGGGGTGCAAGAGAAAAGAAAAACAAGTGTTATCCAGCTTGTGATGCAATCACAGGCCAAGCACCCATGGATGGAATCACTTAACAGGCTCTGGGGGAAAACAGACTGTCAGGTCCACTGTAGTGCCACTGGAGGGAGCAGGAGTGAAATAGTGACTGATATCTGTGCTAAATATACTGATGTTCTGAGATTATTGGGGTCAGGGGAGGAGATTGCAGAGAGAGAGAGGAGAAGATTGCATAAAACGGGACAATTAATAGATATGTATAGTGCACAGGCAAGTGGAGTGGTAGTACAAGAGCAAGGTAGCAGGCTCGTACAGTGAGGCTGTTTCTTGGGAAACTAGGGAGCAGCCCAAAGATAGTGGAATTACTAAGAATTCCATTGATATTTCCAATCAGCAATGGCCATTCAAGAGAAAATCCATGCAAAATTTGGGATCAAATGTTTCAGGCATTAAGGAAAGTTAGGGCGACTCATCCTTCCTTTCTCAGTTACGAAAAAAAACCCAACCTTAAATAGAGCAGACAATTTCCAGAATGGAATGCAAGGCCACTGTGAATTGGCTAGCCTCTATGCAAGCAAGGCCCTGCTTTAACGGTAGCTGTTAGTCCAGTTCTTTCCAGGCTGCTATTTTCCTTCTTAGTGACTTGATGTTACTTCTGAGTACATGTCTTGGGTCCTTACATCACATATTTTTTACTTCTAACCATAAATTCTAAAGGTGTGCTCACTAGAACGGGAGCCCTCTCTAGATCATTCTAAGCAAAGTTTGGAGAACTAGTTGCCTCCTTTCTTTGGGTTCACAGTTTCTATGCCTGTAATCAGTTGTCAGGATCCCTGTTGAGAATCTCCAGAATAAGTTTCTGCCTATACCCATGAATATTTATCAGCCTAATTCACCAGGAGGCTTAACCCAGAGCTTCTCCCTGACTTCTGGAAGCTCAAGGTTTTTTATACTACTTGTCACCAACACTGTGTTCCAGCATATTCCCAGATGATTAAAACTTCCAAAGCAGTAGACCTTTATTATTCCAAAAAGATTCCTCCATCAACATACCAAACTGATGAGGGATTGTAAAGTATACAGAGAGCCCCTTCTCCCACATTGAGGCACTTCTCCAGCAGGAAATAAGAATGTAGTTAGTCATAATAGAAGCTCATTAAACTTGACTAGGATTTTAACAGTTAGGGAAAGATGACAATCACTTAAAGTTCATTAAGATCCCATGTCAGTATAACCTTTAGTATAAAGCATGGCATGTTTTTGCCCACAAAATTTTTAATCTCAAATTAAATGAGACTTGACCCTTGATCTATGTTCCAATCCATAACAATATTTGGCATATGAGCAAAGGCCATATTAGTTTTAAAAAAAAACTAGTTTAATTATTATGAATTTTGTAATAATTATATTCTAACTCATAATGTAACCCCTATTTAGTGCAATTAGTAAGATTTGATTTCTAACAAAGCCTGATTCTACTAATATCAAAGATAAAACGTACTGGGAGATTGAATTAAAACTTCTACAAGGTGTTTTTCCACTGTACCTGATTCATCCAAAAATCCTCTCATCTATAAAAGAAATAAGAATACCGACCAACAAAAAAGTTGTCAGAATCAACTGTTGCAGAACTACAGAAATTAATCAAAGGCTTGCAACAATCTGGGAATAATTTATTTACCAAAAAAAAAGCTCAATCTTGGTAAGAAAAATAGGTTTATAGTTTTATAACTTCCCTTTTCCTATCTCCTCTCCCAGCTCAGTCACAGCCTCAAAAGTCAATAACCTACAATCACAGTGAAAACCAGCAGCCTGTCATACACTGAAGAAGGTGGAATGGGGTTGGAGCTTCTTTAAAGCACATTCACAGAAAATTGTTGTGATGTTAATTGCCTGTTGGTTCCCTAGAAGAGCCCACTGACAGGGTTGTCTTCATTTTTACCTTACTAAGAACTCTCCCTTGTGAAAAATTCTTTTCCCCAAAAGTGTTGAAAACAATAAGAGTCAATTGCATAATATTGCAGCTGCCTGAAGTGGTGGATAACAGTTATGGCTAACAACAGACTAATTAAAAAGCTTAAAGGGAAAGCTAGAGGATAAGCTGTCCATAGGAACCTTGAAAAGCTGTGACACATCCCTGAGACTATAGAAGCCACTTATGTGTGTAAAGCTGTGTGCATGTACAGGGCTCTGCATATGCTCAGGAAATACCTGATAACCCTCTAAACTCTCTCCTCTGGCTAGTCTGGAGGTTCTGCACAAACAGGAAGTGAAGGCTAAGGCAGAGTTGTCAACTACTCAGTTGCATGTCAAAGGCATGCCCCAAAACACACACAGAACCTCTTAGCAAAGATTAATTGATTCCAGATATTTAAGGAAATTTCTATCCAATCATGTGTTGGTCACTAAACTAACCATTCAGACATGTCAGTGGCCACACATGAGAAATAGAATTTTACAAAATTAGTTCCCAAAATTCACTAAACAAACAAACAACTAAAAACAGCAACAACAAACCCTGGAGAGTGGGAAAGAATCTGAATTCCAAAGTTGCCACACTGTGTTATCTTGAATGTCCAATATTCAACAAAAAATTAAAGTCATGCAAAGAAACAAGAAAGTAAGGCCCATACACAACACACACACACACACACACACACACACACACACACACACAAAGTCAATAGAAACTTTCCCTGAGGAAGAAAAAATATTGAACTTACTAGACAAAGACTTTACATCAACTACTTAAACATGTTCAAAGTACTAAAGGAAGCCATAGCTAAAGACCTACAGGGAAGTATGAAAATTATGTTTCATCCAATAAAAAATAAAAAGATAGAAATTATTTTTTGAAAAACCAAATATTAATTCAGAAGTTGAAAACTAACTGAAGTGAAAAATTCACTAGAGCTCAATAGCGGATTTGAGCCAGCAGAAGAAAGAATCTGCAAACGTCAAGATAAGTAGATTGAGATTATTCCGTATGAGAAAAGAAAAGAGAATAAACAAAAGGAATAGAGCCTCAGAGTCCTGTGGGACATCAGTAAATTACCAACATACACATAATGAAAATCCAAGAGAGGCTAGAAAGGAGCAGAAAAAATATTTTAAAAAATAATGACCAGCCCGGCATGGTGGCTCATGCCTGTAATCCCAGTAATCCCTCCCTCTGGGAGGCCAAGGCAGGCAGATCACTTGAGGTCAGGAGTTCGAGACCAGCCTGGCCAACATGGCGAAACCCCATCTCTACTAAAAATACTTAGCCAGGCCTGGTGGTGGGAGCTTGTAATCCCAGCTACTGGTGAGGCTGAAGCAGGAGAATTGCTTGAAACTGGAAGGTGGAGGTTGAAGTGAGCCAAGATCCTGCCACTGCACTCCAGCAGCTTGGGCAACAGAGTGAAACTCCATCTCAAAAAAGTAATAATGATGAGCAAAAACTTCCAAATTTAATTTTAAAATATTAATTTACATGTCCAAGAAGCTCAAGAAACTCCAACCAGGATACACTCAAAGACAATTAAAATATTCTAAAATTGGTTGTTGTGATAGTTGCACTTTAAATATACAAAAAGCTATTGAATTGTACTCTTTATATCTGTAAATTGAATGGTATGTTAATTATATCTCAATAAAGTTTTTAAAAAGAGAATGAGGTACCAATACATCCTTACAACATGGATGAACCTTTAAAACTTTGTTCTAAGTGAAAGAAGCCAGTCACAAAAAGCCACGTATCATATAGCCCACTCATATAAAATGTTCATAATAGGCAATTCCATAGACACAGAAACTAGATTTGCGCTTGCAGAAGTTGGAGGGAAGGGAGTTACTGACAATGGGTATGGGATTCCTTTAGGGAGTGATAAAAATATTCTGCAATTAAATAGTTGTGATGGATTCACAATCTTGTGAATATGCCAAAAATCACTGAACTACATACACTAAAAGGGTGAACTTTATGGTGTGTAAGTTATATCTCAATGTTTATAAAAGCAACACCCTCCTCCCCAGAAATTTCAGTAGTGAAAAGGTGTAAAACCATTGTAATGGTTGCACATGTTTATGCTGGAAAATTGGTAAACTGAAATGTTTCTTTAAAACACTTATACTTCATTGGGAGAGAGTTATTTCTTTGGAAAATGCCCTTTCTCTTTTTTCTATGAATAGTCAAAGTTTCAGGAAAAAGAACCAGTAATACACATGTATTTTAAAAGGTGTGACTAAGTGTCAGAGGGTAGATTGTGCAAGATAGGTACCTTAGAGCTTGACCAGGACAACTCTTTGCTAATCTTCAGGAATTCTTGGGACTCTGGCCCTGACTCAGCCAAGACAAGAATAGTGAGCTAATGATTAATGATGTGATGATTAAAGTTCAAATTCTCCTGGTGGCAGTCAGAACCAGTTTGTTTATTGATGGCTTATACCCAGTATAATCAGTTGGATATCCTGGCTTGGCTATGTGACCAAGAGGATATAAAAGACCCTGTTGGAAATGTTTAAGTACCTTTCCCAAAACAAAGATTTATCATCACACAATTCTTGGTAATTCAATTTGGAAACATTGCATATCCTGATGCAAATAAGAAAGACACTGGGGAGCTGCGCTTGGAAGTTTCTTGGACCTCTGATGCTTTCTTGCAATCTCTTGTTCCTGCTTTACTGTATCCTCTGCCTTTATTGAATATGCTCTTCGAGGCCTTGTTAGTCTTTCAATTATCCAGCCTAATGCAATCTCTTTTCATGAGTAATGCATTCCATACTGCAGATCTTTTTTATAAAAAGTAAAGGAGCAGCAATCTCAGTAATTATATTCAAATGAGACTCTCAAAACCCTGTGAGCAAATATAAGCAAAATTAGTCCCACCTGTGGGACAGCGCCAATATACCCAGCAGCTGTTCATGAGTAGAGATGGCAGAGAGAATACTGCCTGTTCCCAAACATAGAAATCCAATCTGGTTGTCCAACCCAAACCACGAAAATCGTTGCATTCCACAGACAAGGATACAAGAGTTATATTTGTGAAAAAGAAGCTTCTGCTGCTCAAGAACTTTCTCAATGATGCCTGAAATTGAGGGTCAAGAAACAAACCCCAGAATCTAGTAATCGACTCTTGAGTACCACCCCACCCCACATTATCTAGACCATAGGTCTAAGTCAGAGATTCTGATGATCTCCTCAGGTACTTTGGCAAATTCATCACAAATATCTCCTGTTAATATATGGGTAAAGAAATGTTTGGGGTTAATATGTGGGTAGAGAAATGTCGGGATGACCAGAGCCATCCTCATACATAGTCATATCTCTGTAGCACAAGTGTTCAAATTTCTCCAAATTCCACCACTAAAAAGATATCAGAGCCACATGGATCCATACCTTCATGGCTTAGATGTTTTCCCATGCTTTGCTTGAGCTCACACTATCAAGAAGGTACCAAGAGAAAGGCACCATTCTTTGAACTTAATCGCCAGACCCACTTCTTCTGGTTGCTATTTAACCAGACTGGTCATCCACTCTCATTTATTCTGTCATCCTTTCTACCCAAAGTATAACCAGTTGAACAGTGTGGATTGCCACCACCCTAGAGCATTTCAACAATATCCTGGCTCTAGGTTCTCTAATCTTCTTCCTAACAAAGACTACACAGGGGTTGTATTAGTCACTCACCTCCCTCCCACCCCTGGCCGTATTCTGTACTTCCCTACAAGGAGCTATTAAGCTTAAGACCCATGAATTCAGCCAGCAATTTGTCTTTCTCATTTGCTTATAAAATAAGCAAGGTTTACAAGGGAAACTCCTGAGGCAGGTCTTCTGAAGCTGGAAAATAATTTCAACCCCTACACACAAATTAAGCCAGAGAGAATTGAAGCTGATGAGGCATTTAAGTGGGCAATAAAAATCTGGAGTTGGTGGAGGGAGAACCACCTAAGGTGAGCTGAAATACGTAACACTTGCAAGAATCTCCCAGACAGGAACTCCGACTAGTCTAAGCAACCCTGTAAGACCTAAAACAAGTTTTCTTCCTCTCTTACTCCATTTGGGCTGTTATAATGAATTAACAAAAACTGGATAGTTTGGAAACATAAGAAATGTATTTCTCACAGTTCTGGAGCCTTGGAAGTCCAACATCTAGGCACATTCACTGTCTGATGAGGGCCCACATCCTGGATCACTTCTCATTGAAATCATTTCTTCCTACTCTGTCCTCACATGGTAGAAGAGGCAAAGGATCTCTCAGGCCTTTTTTATAAGGGCACTAATCCCATTCGTGGGGTCTCTACCTTTATGGCCTAATCACCTTCCAAAGACCTCACTTCCTCATACCATCATATTGGGGGTAGGATTTCAACATATGAATTTGGGGGAGACAAAAACATTCAGACCATAGCACTTCTTTTGTCAATACTTACTGACGAAGCCTAAGGAGTAATAAAGGAACAGAATCCCAAGATGGGGAATAAAAAGGGGAATCTACTAACTTTTCTCTCAAGGTGAAGTGTCTTTTAGAAAGGAAAAAAGGGGAGAAAAGTCCCTCAAAGATCTTCTTTGAAGACAAGGTTTAGAACTTAGCTCTTATATCCTGAGAACTTACTCCATCTCACCTAGAAAAATCAGGAAAAAGTGAGGAGAAAGAGAAAAAAAAAATCACAGTTTTAGTTTTCCACAAGCCTTGATGCAAGACACATCCAAATCAATCCTCTGCCCAAATAACTTCTAATCCATGCACTTCCTTTTTCCTTCGTTAGAGTTTGCTTAAAAACCTAGAAAATGTACCTGCTTGACCTGGCAAAGCAATGGGGGTGGTTCTAATTGGCTAACAGCCTAAAATACTTGATGGTGTCCCTGGACTAATTAATTTTATTAAACACATTTGAGCTGGATTCTAGTGAGTGTTGCTAAAAGGAGGGATTCATTTATTACTTCATTCAGCAAACAGTTGTATAATTTTAATGTGCATGGTGCTGTTCTAGGCACCTGGGATCAATTATGAAAAGTACAGAAAATCAGTATGTTCATGAACTTTATATTCCTTTGAGAAAGTGCACACAACAGGAGGTAAGCCTGATGATGGGTTTAGTATAATCAATTCTTATGAAAAGATAATGCCCATATTTAGGCTTGGGAAACACACAATCTTTCCTGTGTATGTTTCCCCTAGATTTCTAAATTTTCTCTTTTGTCTACCCAGTCTGGTGACACAGACTGTGTCCCCTCAACCATGTCCCCTCATCCAACTTTTGTCCTCTCAGCTCTGGGCTTTACATATTCAGGTCCATGTTCATAATCCTTGCAACTCCATGGGGTTGTGATGAAGGTCAAATGTTTTAATGGAAGGTGAAATTATTGTTATAATCTCTTATTGTTAATATGGCCCTTGGCAATTGTATGGCCAAGGTCCATGCCTGGTTAGCCCTGCAACACTCTTTTCACTTCCCCTTCAGAGCCAACCACTCTCTAGTCTTGGCCATTTGTAAAGCCGTTTTCCCAGGCCATCATGTTGACACAGCTGCTTATGGTACCCATATCCTGGTTCCCCTGTCTGTTCTATGCATTACGTGTATGTAATTAGAACTTCCAACATTTCATTCCATAAGTATGCTGACCAAAGTAGCTGAAGACCAGTAATGTAAATTCGTTTTTCTGTTTTGTTTTTTTTTTTTGTCTTTACTTGGATTCTCGCTACATGTAGAGCATAGGTGGTAGTCTCCCTTTAATTCTCATCCATATGTAGACACAAAACTTTTCCTTAAGGGTCCCTTATAACATCTTGCATGTGCTAAAACTTGAAAACACTAAAAGAGAAAATAAACAGATAAACATAGATGGTGCAAGAACCACGAAACAATGTTAGGTATATTCCCCATGTGACTGCAACCAGGAATAACTATCCTATAGCTAGGAATCACTTTAAGTCCTATATAATGGCACACTAACCATGCAATAAGTGAAATATTCACCTTTGACGAAGTTACCAACATAACACTAATGAGCAATCTGTTTCCTCTGGCACTCATATCCATCTCAATGAACCTAACATCCCCCTTCGTGACCTTCATGCCCTTTCCGTGATACCCATATCTACAGTAGCTTGACCTTTAAAGCTTAGGAGTAGCACTTTTGTTCCTTCATTCACTTCCATCTCCCATTTACAGCCCCCAATTGCATTAGAGTGATTCATATATCGCTTTCGAAATGCCAACGGACACACAGTGACTCACGTTCCCTGCTTTCATCCTCATATTTCCTTATGGAAATACTGAGGTCCTGCATGTGCCATTTTAGTGAATGTCCCAGGTTTTCCCTATCTTCCAAAGCAGGAATTGCTCAAGTTATGAGGGACTTTGCTGAAGATCCTGGCATGTATGGGATTAATAGGTTTTCCTTCAGAGAGGCTTCCAGGTGTTTCAAGCTGCCATCCAATCTTTCAGGCAACAAGTCTTCTTCCCAGGCTACTTAGTGCAATTTCAAACACTAAGGAAGATTTAAAACTGCTGGTGGATGAATATGAGTGTGTTTTTAGAGGCATAAAACTAGGTGTGCTGGTGCCTTCTCTCTCTCCTTTGTGCCCTCATCTTACACTGGGCTTCAAACACTGTTTCCCTCCTTTTGTTTGGCTGTGTGGGAAGCCACTTTCTAATCCCTAGACTGAGGTGGTATGGCCACTGCCAGTAAGAAAAATGGGAATTTCTGGAGGTACGTCCGTTAAAATTGCTGGGATGGAGACAAGGCTGATTGTGAAAGCAATATTTCCACAGGGTAGTCTAAGGGAAAGGGAGCACCTTGGATGAACCGGTAGTCTGCACTTGAGACTAACACACTGTCACCAGCAGGAGAAGATTTTTTGCTGTGTTCTCTGTGTGTTAGTTTGTTCTCACACTGCTATATAGAAATACCCAAGACTGGGTAATTTATAAAGGAAAGAGGTTTAATTGACTTACAGTTCTGCAAGGCTGGGGAGGCCTCAGGAAACTTAGAATCATGATGGAAGGGGAAGAAAACATAACCCTTCTCACAAGCGGTCAGGAGCGAGAAGTGCGAGAAGTGAAGGGGGAAGAGTCCCGTATAAAACTGTCAGTTCTCGTGAGAGCTCATTATTACGAGAACAGCATGGGGGAAACCACCCCCATGATTCAACTACCTCCACCTGGTCTCTCCCTTTACATGTGGGGATTATGGAGATTATAATTCAAGATGAGATTCTGGGTGGGGACACAGCCAAACTATACCACTATGGATCATGTTTTAGGAAGAAATTAGAATTCAAAGAAATCGTAGTTGAAGGGAGAGAAATAAGACTAGTACATCTTTCCACATTCTCACAAATCTCCAATCAAAGGGCAGTGTGGACAATTCCCCAGTGCTCGCAGGGAAGGTCTAATCAAGATAGAATAGAATCGTGGTTATCAGAGGCTGGGGGAAAGGGAAGACACTGGTCAAGGGTACAAAATTTTCATTAGACAGGAGGAATAATTTCTGGTAATCTATTACACACCATGGTGACTATAGTTAGTAATAATGCATTATATACTTCAAAATAGCTAAAAGGACGTTAAATGTTCTCGCTAGAAAGAAATAATAAGTATTTGAGATGACAGATATGCTAAGTAGCGTGATTTGATCATTCCACAATGTATACATGTATCCAAACATCACATTGTACCTGATAAATATATACAATTATTACTTATCAATTAAAAATAAAATGGAACTTAAAAAAAGAAATATATGGCCTGGAGGATTCACCAGGAGTTATTAAGTTGCTTAATGGAATTGACAAAGTGTAGGCTTTACCTCCGACAGGGCTGCATTGAAATCGTGACTCTGCCACTTGCAGGCTAGGTGTCTTGTAAGCCAACCAGGCAATCTGTTCCTCCATCTGCGAAATGAAAGAAAAAGAAAATTATGCTCTTTTTTCCTGACAACCTGGAACATATTCCTAAGCCCCTCTGTGATAAAGTCACTAAATAACAAGAAATTTAATAGGTTTAGGAATTGGATCCTGAGGGTCTTTTTTAGCAATTGAACCGGACTAACTGCCACTACTAGTGCAGATCTGAACAGCAGTATGGATATCATTGGAATATCAAATGCAGAGTTCAGACTTGCTAACATAACTGCGTAGGAGGAGGGTGCAATCTTCCTTAGTGCTGCAATGAACATAAGTATGCATATATCTTTATAATAGAATGATTTATATTCCTTTGGGCATACGCCCAGTAATGGGATTGCTCATCTCAAATACTTGTACCTAAGCTGAGAGGACACAAGTTGGATGAGGGGACATGGCTGAGGGGACACAGTCTGTGTCACCAGACCTAAGTAACCATCCCTGAACCATGTTAAAGGCAGTATTAGGATAGGCAGATGAGCTCAGTTAGTGTTATTCCACAAATTGCCTTTTTCCGGGAAATTGCACCCTCCTCCTACACAGTTATGTTAGCAAGTCTGAACTCTGCCTTTGATATTCCAAAGATATCCATCCTTCTGTTCAGATCTGCATTAGTGGTGGCAGTTAGTCCAGTTCAATTGCTAAGAAAGACCCTCAGGATCCAAACTGGTAATGCTGACAAAGACAGTTTCTTACAGGCAAAGGATACAATATAGCAACAGCATTAATGTAAGGATATACACCTCAGCCTAAGGCTGCCTCATAGGGAGGGGTCCAAAGAGGCTGGGAGTGGGCTCTAAGTATTCTCCCTGCGCAAGGATGTATGGATGCACTTTTCTGTTTGGTCAGGAACCACCTACGTATGTGCAAACCTCTCAGATCCAGTGAGGCCAAAATGGCATTACAGCCTGGTCTTCTGCTACCCTGCTGTTCATGTGGGCATAGTCTGCTATATAATGGCAGGCTTATGCTATATAATGCTATATAATTGAGGACTCATTGAGACCCAATGCAAATCATCAATGTCACTGTTATCAGTAGACGGTGCAGATGAGCTCTACTTAGGGGTCATTGATGTGAAACTTCAGCAAAACAGCTTGGGAGAATTGTAGCCCTGGTTGAGTCAACCTCCCAGCATACAACCCCATCCCCAGTCATCAGAAGTCATGGTCCAGTGTACATCAAATTGGCCCCTAAAAATGCTAAAAATGCCCTTCTCAATGTGACCCTAACCCATAATTTCACATTTTCCTTGTACAGTCATATGTCACTTAACAATAAGAATACATTCTGAGGAACTCATTGATAGGCAATTTCATCGTTGTGCAAACATCATAACAAACCTAGAAGATACAAACTACGACAGACCTAGGCTATGTGATATAGTCTATTGCTTCTAGTCTACAAACATGCAAGTTACTGTACACAATTGTAGCACAATAATAACTATTTGCATTTCTAGGTATATCTAAACATAGAAAAGGTACAGTAAAAATACACTTTAAAAGATAAACGATGGTATACCTGCGGAGGACTGAAAGTTGCTCTAGGTGCAAGAGTGAGAGGGTGGTGAGTGAATGTGAAGGCCTAGAATATTACTGTTAACTATTGTTGATTTTATAAATACTGTACACAGGCTACACTACATTTATTTTTAAATACTTTTCATTCTTCAGTAACAAGTAAGCAACTTCTGTAACTTCTTTATTTTATAAACTTTCTAATTTTTTTTTTTTTGAGACGGAGTTTTACTCTTGTTACCCAGGCTGGAGTGCAACGGCGCGATATCAGCTCACCGCAACCTCCACCTCCCAGATTCAAGCAATACTCCTGCCTCAGCCTCCCGAGTAGCTGGGATTACAGGCATGCACCACCACACCCGGCTAATTTTGTATTTTTAGTAGAGATGGGGTTTCTCCATGTTGGTCAGGCTGGTCTCAAACTCCCGACCTCAGGTGATCCGCCCACCTCAGCCTCCCAAAGTGCTGGGATTACAGGCGTGAGCCACCATGCCTGGCCATAAACTTTGTAATTTTTTTAAGCTCTCATTTTTTCAGATTTTTGGGGTTTTTTAAATTTTATTTTAAGTTCCAAGATACATGTGCAGGATGTGCAGATTTGTTACATAGGTAAACATGTGCCGCGGTGGTTTGCTGCACCTATCAACCCATCACCCAGATATTAAACCCAGCATGCATTAGCTATTTTTCCTGATGCTCTCCCTCTCCATGCCCCACTCGACAGGTCTCAGTGTGTGTTGTTCCCCTCTGTGTTCATGTGTTTGGATAGTTCAGCTCCCATTTATAAGTGAGAACATGTGGTGTTTGGTTTTCTGTTCCTGTGTTAGTTTGCTGAGGATGATGGCTTCCAGCTCCATCCATGTCCCTGCAAAGAACATGATCTTATTGCTTTTTATGGATGCATAGTATTCCTTGGTGTATATGTACCAATGATAGATCCAGTCTATCATTGATGGGCATTTGGGTTGATACCGTGTCATTGCTATTGTGAATAGTGCTGCAATGAACATAAGTATGCATATATCTTTCTAATAGAATGATTTATATTCCTTTGGGCATATGCCCAGTAATGGGATTGCTGGGTCAAATGGTATTCCTGGTTCTAGGTCTTTGAGAAATCACCACACTGTCTTTCACAATGGAACTAATTTACATTCCCACCAACAGTGTAAAAGGGTTCCTATTTCTCTGCAACCTCACCAGCATCTGTTGTTTCTTGACTTTTTAATAATTGCCATTCTGACTAGCATGAGATGGTATCTCACTGTGGTTTTGATTTGCATTTCTCTAATGAACAGTGATGTTGAGCTTTTTTTATGTTTCCTGGCTGCATAAATGTCTTATTTTGAGAATGTTTGTTCATGTCCTTTGCCCACTTTTTGATGGGGTTGTTTGTTTTTTTCTTGTAAATTTGTTTAAGTTTCCCTTGTAGATTCTGGATATGAGACCTCTGTCAGATAGATTGCAGAAATTTTATCCATTTCTCTAGGTTGTCGCTCACTCTGATGATAGTTTATTTTGCTGTGCAGAAGCTCTTTAGTTTAATTAGAGCCCATTTGTCAATTTTTGCTTTTATTGCAATTGCTTTTGACATTTTTGTCATGAAATCTTTGCCCATGCCTATGTCCTGAATGGTATTGCCTAGATTTTCTTCTAGGGTTTTTACAGTTTTGGGTTTTACACTTAAGTCTTTAATCCATCTTGAGTTAATTTTTGTATAAGGTATAAAGGAGGGGTCCAGTTTCAATTTTCTGCATATGGTTAGCCAGTTCTCCCAGCACCATTTATTAAATAAGGAATCCTTTCCCCATTGCTTGTTTTTGTCAGGTTTGTTGAAGATCACATGGTTGTAGATGTACAGTCTGATTTCTGAGTTCTCTATTCTGTTCCATTGGTTTATGTGTCAGTTCTTGTGCCAGTACCATGCTCTTTTGGTTACTGTAACCTTGTAGTATGTGCAGTCTTATAGCTGAGTTCTGTATTCTGTTCCATTAATCTATGTGTCTGGTTTTGTACCAGTACCATGCTGTTTTGACTGTAGCCTTTTAGTATAGTTTGAAGTCAGGTAGTGTGTTGCCTTCAGCTTTGTTCTTTTTGCTTAGGATTTTCTTGACTATATGGGCTCTTTTTTGGTTCCATATGAAATTTAAAGTAGTTTTTTTCTAATTCTGTGAAGAATGTCAATAGTAGTTTAATGGGAATAGCATTGAATCTATACATTTGAGCAGTATGGCCATTTTCACGATATTGATTCTTCCTATCCATGAGCATAGAATGTTTTTCCATTTGTTTGTGCCCTCTCTTATTTCCTTGAGCAGTGGTTTGTCATTCTCCTTGAAGAGGTCCTTCACATCCCTTGTAAGTTGTATTCCTAGGTATTTTATTCTCCTTGTAGCAGTTGTGAATGGGAGTTCACTCATGATTTGGCTCTCTGCTTGTCTATTGTCAGTGTATAGGAATGCTTGTGATTTTTGCACATTGATTTTGTATCCTGAGACTGTGCTGAAGTTGCTTATCAGATTAAGAAGCTTTTGGGCTGAGACAATGGGGTTTTTTAGATATAGGATCATGTCATCCGCAAACAGAGACAGTTTGACTTCCTCTCTATTTGAATACCCCTTATTTCTTTCTCTTGCCCGATTGTTCTGGCAGAACATCCAATACTATGTTGAATAAAAGTGGTGAGAGAGGGCATCTTTGTCTTGTGCTGGTTTTTGAGGGGCATGCTTCCAGCTTTTGCCCATTCAGTATAGTATTGGCTGTGGGTTTGTCGTAAATGGCTCTTATTACTTTGAAGTATGTTCCATCAATACCTAGTTTATTGAGAGTTTTTAACATGAAGGAATGTTGAATTTTACTGAAGGTCTTTTCTGTATCTATTGAGATAATCATGTGTTTTTTGTCTTTAGTTCTGTTTATGTGATGGATTATGTTCATTGATTTGCATATGTTGAACCAGGCTTGCAACCCAGGGATGAAGCCAACATGATTGTGGTGGATAAGCTTTTTGATGTGCTGCTGGATTTGGTTTGCCAGTGTTTTTTTGAGGATTTTTTTCACCGATGTTCATCAGGGATATTGGCCTGAAGTTTGCTTGTTGTTGTTGTTTCTCTTCCAGGTTTTGATATCAGGATGATGCTAGCCTTATAGAATGAGTTAGGGAGGAGTCCCTCCATTTCAATTGTTTGGAATAGTTTCAGAAGAAATGGTACCAGCTCCTCTTTGTACCTCTGGTAGAATTCAGCTGTAAATCCATCTGGTCCTGGGTTTTTTTGGGTTTTATGCTATTTCTTACTGCCTCAATTTCAGAACTCGTTATTGGTCTATTCAGGGATTCAGCTTCTTCCTGGTTCAGTCTTGGGAAGGTGTATGTGTCCAAGAATTTATCCATTTCTTCCAGGTTTTCTAGTTTATTTGCATAGAGGTGTTTATAGTATTCTCAAATGATTGTTTGTATTTCTGTGGGGTCAGGATGATATCTGCTTTATCACTTTTTATTGTATCTATTTGATTTTTCTCTCTTCTCTTCTTTATTAGTCTAGCTAATGATCTATTTTATTAATTTTTGCAAAACCAGTTCCTGGGTTCATTGTTTTTTTGAAGGGTTTTTTGTGTCTCTGTTGCCTTCAGTTCTGCTCTGATCTTGGTTATTTCTTGTCTTCTGCTAGCTTTGGCGTTTGTTTGCTCTTGGCTCTCTAGTTCTTTCAGTAGTGACATTAGGATGTTGATTTGAGATCTTTCTACCTTTTTGACGTGCGCATTTAGTGCTATAAATTTCCCTCTTGATGATGCCTTAGCTGTGTTCCAGAGATGCTGGTACACTGTCTCTTTGTTCTTATTGGTTTCAAAGAACTTCTGAATTCCTGCCTTAATTTCATTATTTACCCAGGAGTCATTCAGGAGTAGGTTGTTCAGTTTCCATGTAGTTGTATGGTTTTGACAGAGTTTCTTAACCTTGAGTTCTAATTTGATTGTGTAAACTTTTTGAAATATAATAACACTTAGCTTTAAACACAATTTAAACACAAATATATGATACAGCTGCACAGAAATATATCCTTTATATCCTTATTCTATAAGCCTTTTTAATTTTTTATTTACTTATTTATTTTTGAGATGGAGTCTCGCTTTGTCGCCCAGGCTGGAGTGTGCCGTGGAGTGATCTTGGCTCACTCCAACCTCCACTTCCTGGGTTCAAGCAATCCTCCCACCTCAGCCTTCTGAGTAGCTAGGATTGAAGGCATGCACCGCCACACCCAGCTAAATTTTTTTGTATTTTTAGTAGAGATGGGGTTTCACCATATTGGCCAGGCTGGTTTCAAATGCTTAACCTCAAGTGATCTGCCTGCCTTGGCCTCCCAAAGTGCTAGGATTACAGGCATAAGCTGCCATGCCAAGCCTAATTTTTTTTTCATCTTTTACTTTTTAAGCTTTTTTGTTACAAACTAATACCCCAACACACACATTAGCCTAGCCCCACACAAGGTTAGGATTATTAATAGCATTGTATTTTTCTCCTTCATGTCTTGCCCCACTGGAAGATCTTCAATGGCAATAATATACATGAAGCTGTCATCTCCTATTATAACAATGCCTTCTTCTAGAATATCTCCTGAGTGACGCCCCCAAGCCTGTCTTACAGTTAACCTTTTTATATATAAGTAGAGGAAGTACAATCATCTAAAATAGCAATAAAAAGTATAATATAGTAAATACCTAAACCAATAACAGTCATTTATTATCATTATCAAGTATTATGTACATTTTATAATTATATGTGCTAGACTTACATGACTGGCAGTACAGTAGGTTTGTTTGCATCAACGTCACCACAAACACATGAGTAATGTACTCTGCCACCACTTTATGATGGCTATGATGTTACTAGATGAGAGGAACTTTTCAGCACCTTCATAATCTTATAAGACTACCATCATGTATTCAGTCTGTCTTTGACCAAAAGGTCATTATGCAGTGTATGACTATAGTTCAAAATCACAATGACACAGTAAAGCTTTTGCCAACTAAGACACATTTCGCAAACTAGCTCTATAGTTGTTGGGCCCTGGTACCCGTGAAAAGAAAATATCTTGGGCCCCTAGAATCACTCAGGAAAACTCAAGCTGGGAACTGTATAGGGCAAACCTGCCTCCCATTCTATTCAAAGTCACTCCTCTGCTCACTGATATAGATGCATATCTGATTTGCTTCCTTTGGAAAGGCTAATTGGAAACTCCAAAGATGTAGCCATTTGTGTATCACCTATCTGTGAACTGGAAGCTCCCTCCCCACTTCAAGTCTTCCTGTTTTTGCTTCAAGTTGTCCCCTCTTTCCAGACTGAACAAATGTGCTTCTTAATTGATGTCTCATGTATCCCTAAATGTGTAAAACCAAGCTGTGCCCTGACCACCTTGGGCACATGTCATCAGGACTTCCTGAGGCTGTGTCACAGGCGCATCATCAACCTTGGCAAAATAAACTTTCTAAATTAACTGAGACCTGCCACAAATTTTCAGGATTCATAGACCCCGAGAGGAAAATGTATCCTTAAGGACAGAGGGAGGACAGAGCTTGGAAACTATTAATTCTTTTGGTCTCCCTCCAAAAGAGCCTGGATATTTTTCGAGTTATGTGTAATCCATGCTCGCCCCTGAGGCAGACCCACCCTCCTGAGGGACTTAAAGACAGGACCATTATGT
Source organism: Homo sapiens (assembly GCF_000001405.40). NCBI lineage: Eukaryota > Metazoa > Chordata > Mammalia > Primates > Hominidae > Homo > Homo sapiens. The sequence continues at coordinate 101,879,614 of NC_000011.10, forward strand.
GGTTCATGTTTCTTCAAAAAGGAAGTTTATCTGGTACCAAGTTTTTCTGAACTGCCAGAGGTAGTTGCAGTTGAGACCCCTCACACACCCTTAAAAAGGCTCTGAAGTTACTGACACAAAAAAGACATCTGGCTACAAGAAGGGGCTTCTCCTGGATCTCCATCATCCATGTCAGTAGATACCTAATGAAGCTCTCCACTGAATCCCAGTCCCATGTCCTGCACCATAAATCACATCGTTTTCTTCTCAGATAGCCCATCCACCTCCCACCTTGGCCCAGAACAAGAACCTGAGCTTATAAACTGAGACTACCCATGCCTGCTCCCTTAATGTGCAAATCAAAAAAATCAGAGATAGTTGTGAATCTTTAAACACCAGTTATAACTGAATAATTCTTCAGACCAAAACTCAAATACAAAAAGACTAATAGCTAACATGCTGGTAATAAGCTAGTAGGACACTTTTAAATAAGTCTAGCCACTTAAAGAGGTTTGGGTGTAAGAGTATATCTGGTTATGGATTACTAAAGGACATTTGGTTATTGATTGTAGAAGCATAATCATTAACCCTGTTAGGTGTCATTTTGTGTACAGGAAAAGGCAAGGACTAGGATCATTTCTCTTTTAAGGAATGTGGTGACTTAGGTAAGAGACTTGGAGCCTGTTTTTGTTTCCAAAGCATCTTTTCGGAGAACTGCAGGTCATCACAGAGTCAGGGGCTTTGTGAAATTATGCTGGCAAACAGAAATGAGCAAATATGGCTTCTTACATTTGCTTCTTTGTCTCACAAGCTCCCCCTTTTGGTCACAAATCAATCACCTGGTTGTATTTATAAGACCAATGCTAATTATTCCACATAGTTAGGAAGGCTCTTTTCCAGGAAGGTTGATAGTCTTCAGTTGCGGTTATACGGAATGAACATTGAGCCCAGTGTGCATACTTGCCTATTTATTGAAAAACATGCTTCAGATCGCATCTTATCTTAATTAGCATAAGCCAGGTTTCCTGACGTTGCCTTCTCTTGCACCTAACACAACACCTCAATAGGATTATTATGAGGATACTACAGATAATATATAGCAGTACATACTTAAGTGAGTTAAAGCATTAAAGTAAGTTAAAGATTGGGAGAAAAACATGATAATAATTTTTTAAAAACTGTAACATACACTTGTTTCTTTATTTATTTATTTAGAGACAGGGTCTCACTTTGTCACCCAGCCTAGAGTGCAGTGGCATGAACACGGCTCCCTGCAGCCTCAACCTCCCAGGCTCAAGGGATCCCCCCACCTCAGACTTATTATTTTTATTATAGATTCAGGGGGTAACTGTGGAGGTTTGTTACATGGATATATTGCTTAATGATGAGGTTTGTCCTTCAAGTATACTCATCACCCAAATAACGAATATTGTGTCAAAGGTGGAATTTTTCAACCCTCATCTCCTTTGGTAAACTCCTCCCATCTAGGGAGTTACTTGGCAGTACAGTTTCCATGTGTGTTATACATGCAGCCATTTCTTCCTAGTAACTTTCAACTAGGAAAATTTCCCTTCTGGAGAAACAAAATATCTCAAGGAAGAACTTACCTCTTTGTCAAGGAGTCAAAACAACTAGATGAATAAAACTCAGGACCAGAAACAAAGTAGGAGATCTGAGATTCAAGGGAGAGTCACCCAGTTGTCTCCAACCACGAAGAAGTTGGAGGGACTCAGAGGGCAGATGCTGGCCCCAAGGTGCTGGATCCCCACAATGTTCCAGACAACCCTGGGCAGTCCACTGTGAGTTCCTTCGTGGTTGTCAGGATTGTTCACTAAACAAAAAAGAAATCAAGCTTTTAAAGCATTAAAGTTAGTTTTATTCAGAAGTCTTACTGAGGGCTGTAGACCAAAGGCTACAGTCCAGGTGCAGTTCTATCAGACTACTTTGATGCAGTATTTTAGTTCAAAGCTTATATACAGGTGGTAAAGATTCAGTACATGCAAAATTACATCAAAGTTTGGGAGTAAGAGTACATCTGGTTATAGTTTACTAAAGTACATTTGGTTATAGATTGCACACACATAATCACTAATCCTGTCAGATGTTATGTGTAAGGAAAGGCAAGAATTAGAATTATGTATCTTTTAAGGGATGTACTGATTCAGTCCAGAGACGTGGGCGGCTGTGTGTTCTATCCTGTTTTGCCCTCCAAGCATGTTTCCAGAGAGCTGCATGTCATCACAGAGTCCTGGCTTTGTAAAATTATTCAAGCAGAAATGAGCACACATGGCTTCTTACATTTGCTACTTTGTCTCCCAGGAGTCACAGAGAACAGATCAAGTGACTACCTCATAGATCTAGATGTTTAAGTGCTTCAAGCCTGATTCAGTAGTTCCATCATTGTGTTGAGAATGATTTTAATAATAACCCATCAGTGTAACAATCCATGTAAGTTCAGTGGGCTGAGAACAGTGGACCCATTCCTATAAACCTCTCTGTTCACCATACCAAATACTAGTAGCAAAGAAAAAAAGCTACCTGAGAATCAACCAATACTAGAGCAGAAGGACTTTCACATATAGTCTTTACCCATCCATGCAGCATGAGACTGGCTTGCTGCTGCCACAACAGGTCTTCAAATCCTGAAAAAAGAAGGACACAAAGATGAGGACTGAAAAGAGCAACTAAAATGTACATGTGTAGTACTCAGGACAAGTGATGAACACCACCATCCAAGATTCATTTGGTTCCACTCTTCTTTCTAGTTTTGCTGCCCATGAGCCCAAACATCATGCCACATTCCTCAAGTCTCCAAGGCTCATTGCTATCTTTTCAGGGAAGGGAAGGAACAAGGATGAGTGGGTTACCTCAATCAGCAAAGCCAGTTTTTCCAATAAGAATAGTAAGAGGCAGCCATTGCCAGATTTTTTCCATCTAGATCACTTCTGGTTGATGACAAAAGGCAGATCTCATTCTTTGTGAAAGGGGAAAACCTGAGGTGAATATCTATGTAAGGGTCAAGAAAGACCACCAGTCATGAGCCATTTATAGGTAAAACCTAGGTGCCTGATCTCTAAAACTTGCAGCTGAAGCCAAGAGGTTTCCAGGAGCCTTCTCATGTAAAGTTCATCAAGAATCAGTATAAAGAAGAAGAACCCCTATAGAGCTAATTTTGTTCTCTGGAATATAAGATTTGCCTGAAGACATTAACAAGTTAGGGAAAGGACTGGTCCCAAAAGAAGTCAACACCAAGGAACTGCTAACCCAAGCAAAGTTCTGTTACCCTCAGAACCAGTTCAGAGACATAGCAGCACGGCACTAGGGTGACCTACCTCCTCTCAACAGCCTGAGCACCTCAAGTTCAAAGCAGAACATGGCCAAGGGTTAGTACTCAATGAAATTCAGAGAAGCTCATCCTTATTTGTATGTGCAGACTTACAATATACTACCTACTTGAGGGAAGAATATTTGAAAATAGATGAATATGTTGAATTTTTGCAGAGACCCAAGAACTTGAGGCCAAATCTATTGGGGCTTGAAAAGAATCAGACATTTACAACATCCTAATGAAATCATTTGCCATACTCTAGGAGCATCCTCTAGGGAACCAACAGCAATTCCCTGGAATGATCCATTGTATCTTAGTTGGGGGAAAAACCCTTCCCAAAGACACAGAAAGTTTTATCAACTAGTGTAACTGCTTCCTGATCCCTGAAAACAGTCCTGAATATTTGTTGTCTGCCAGAGAAAGCTAAAGATATTCCTATGGACTATTCCTCAGGGAACAGAAGCCCACCACCTGACCCCCACTTATTCCTATTGATAAAGAGAAGGATTGGGTTAGAGAAATTTTAGTATTTAGAGTAAGAATTTAGTATTTAGAGTAAGACACAGGTTCTAGTCTGAGATTGGGAAGTCCCTTTAGTATAACCTAGTGTTCTCCATCAGGCACATATCTCTCCCTGTAAACTGAGCATTTTTCTCCTCCAGAATAATGGGGCCTGAAAGCCCTAGTATATAGAAAGGGGCAGAAAACCTATAAATAGGGGGATTTAATGGGACTGCAAACAGTCCTTATGAGGGTATGTTGGGTGGGAAAGCTGTAGAAAGGTAGTGATTCCCTAACTGGGAAGGTGGGCCTTTCACCCCAGATGCCCTGTTAGTAAGTTCAGAAGCCTCCTAAAGAATTCCTTTCAGTATTCCTCAAGGAATGTTGACCTATTCTGGGATAAAGAGCCATAAACAGCGGGTCTTTTTAGAATCCAGAGTCTTTGAGGATTTGTTTGGATGCCGCTTTACCCAGTCTGATACCTCTCTCAAGGAGACTGGAAACTTATGACCAGAAATTGAGCCTCGCCAGCACCAGTCCTGTAATCCATATCCCCTTACATGAACCACGTAGGCTGCAGCACCAAGTACCTCTCTGGCTTCTTTTCTGCCCAGTGAGCTTGATCTCTCACAGATCCTCTTCCAATTTCCCATCTCAAATCTAATCCACAATTCAGCAAACTTTTTATGTAAAGGACAAAATAGTAAGTATGTTCACCTTTGTAGACCGTACGGTCTCCGTGGGAACTTCTCAACTCTACCCTTATAGCATGAAAGAAGGCATAGACAATATTCAAATGAATGAGTATATCTGTGTCCCAATTATACTTTATTGGACAAAAAAAATCACAAATATGGGCCATATTTGGCCTGTGGGCCACAATTTACAAACTGCTGATTTTAACCATTCTCACATCTGGACTCAAACCTGTCTGGGGAAATAAATACTAAGTCTAGTGTGGGCAGACCTGAATGGGCCCACATGGGAGAATCTAGAAGACTTCTGGGCCCAAGTTCTCAGGAAATAAAAAGAATGAAGGCAGATTATCAGAGAGTTGTCAACTTCTCTAGCAGCTGTCACAAGACTTATCTTCCAGCCAAGATGCTTGGGAATCTTAGAACAAGATTTTGTTCCCCCAATCTCAGACATCCTGCTGCCTTGTATATGAGCTCATTTCTGAGACCATGCAGTGAAAACAACTATCTAACTCATACCAATGGGTGGCCTAGTCAACCTGATAAGGTAACAATTCTTGAACTCTGACATATGGATGTCAGACAACATAGTGAAAATGTCATATTTGTTATCTCTCTTAGTTTGGATTTATCGAAAAGTAAACCCAAAAACAAGAATTTGAGTACAGGTAACTTACTTAGGTGCAAAAAGATTGATAATCCTTAGAAATGAGCTCTTAAATCATGCCATTAACTTATAAGATTATCTCCTGCATAGAGAGACGATAGTCTAGCAAATAGCAAGACAATTTCTTGTATATCGAGAAAGAACCAACCCTTGCAATTAACTTAAAATGAACTCCCAGGCCCACCTATACTAGTTGTCTAACTGCCTGGCCACCCAGCTTTATTCATTCGAGGATTGACCACACAGCTCAGTTTTCCTCTCTATGTTAAGACCTTCCATCCCTCCAGGAGGTTTTGACACACAGACTCTGGTGCCTCAATTATCTGGCCTCCTCACTTCCCAAGACTAAATACTATCCCGTATTTTTCACTCACTCTCATGGCCACATTCTAGAGCTCACCACCTAGAGTCACATAGCTCTCTGAGCCCTGCATTCAGACAGTACCCCAACCCCAGCAGCCAGTCCTTCCCACTTGCTCAGGTGAAATGAGAGGCCACCATGGACCACAAGAGCCTTAGGCAGGGATTCCTTCCGGAGAATTCTCAGAGACAACAAAAACCCCTTCTGATCCATGGATTCATGTTTCTTCTTTGGATATTTCTTTTATCTTTGGATATTTCTTTGAAACTGACAATACAGGGAAAGAAATTTGTACAACTTGGGAAAAACCAAAGTTTTCATTATTGCGTTTGTTTCACTTTCAGAAGACTAACATTGCTGAAATATAAAATGTCTTAGGCATTAGTGGAAAATGATACATCTTGTTTTATTCCCAGCTGCTTAATGCATTAAGTTCTTAAGCACCACGTAACAAGTATCTGACTTCTTACACTCTACTCTTATAGAAAACAAAAAGCATGAATACATTCGATTTATAATACTCTGAACAATGAAATGAAAATAGCCTTTTATATGCTTTAATATTACCAACTTTTCTCGTTTCTATTTTTCAAAGCTTTTCTAGTCTTGTTTATTTGAATTGAAAGCACATGTCCTGTGAGCCTCTTATATAATTTCTTGGATAGTGAGCAATAACTATGAGTCTGATGGCAAGCCTGGTTTAGGCTAATTTCAACAGACAATGAAGTTTTGGTTTTGTTTTCACAAAACCTAACTATCTATCTCCTACTATTTATTACACGTACCTAAACACCTAACTACCTATCTCCTGTTGTTACATCACCATACGGCCTTGCAAACTCTTTCTTTATAACATCACTGAAAACCTATTTCAGAACTAACATAAGGATTCAGTTGTCGTTAACTTATAAGAACATTCACTGCATAATAGCACAATAGGGACCAGTGGTTAGAAGCAGCCAGAGCAGGGCCAGCCATATGGGGGCTGCCACACTGCCCCCCACACCTGACTGTGTCAGCACGGTAGATGGAGTTGAAAAGGTTGATGGGGTTCAAACTCCAGTTCACCCTCACATAAGTGAGATTGCCGTAGTTATAAATTGGATTCAGTTGTCTTCATCAGAAAAGTGAGAATAATACCTAACTCATAGGATTTTCTAAGGACTAAATGAGATCCACGCATAATATTTAGCACAGTGTCAGGCACAGAATAAACACTAAATGCTAACTATGATAGAATATTCATAATCATGTGTATGTGGCTATGTTATATAAAACTGGGATAAGCTGTTTTCTCCTGACTATTCCTCAGACCTAGACAAGTATGAAATGTACCCTTCAACAAGGTTGTATCAATTTACATGACAATAAAAGTAGGAGTAAGCCCACTTCTTGGCTTCTGTACAAACACTGAGTGTTACCTCATGTAAAAGCTGACATTAGGTCTTAATTTTTATGATAACTCATGAGATAATTTTATGTATATTGACCATTTATATTATGGAGATTGCTTTTCATGTCATTTGCCTATCTTATAAGGATGTTCTTTTCTTATATTTTAGAGTGAATCATATATAAGAAATAGAATCTGTCATTTGTTCAAATACTTTTTCTAGTTTCTCCCTTGTCTCTAATTTTCCTTACAGTGTTTGGGGTATATGGAGCCTTCAAATATTCAAGTAATCAAATGAAATCTTTCTGCCTTGGAAATAAAAAGATTAACTCGTATGTTTGCCTAACATTAATTTTGTTTTTTAGTGTATTTAATCGATCTGTAATTAATTTCTATGCAATACAGCATTCCTTTTTATTTTCAAGTTTTTAACCATTTTCCCAATTACCATTTATCCATTTTTCTCTTCTCCCACTAATATAAAACTCTACGTTTTCTATATTCTGCATAACGTATTTCTATCAAGTTATAGACATAGTCAAGTATTTTACTGACCTCTCTGTTTTCCTTATTACACACATTTTAATTTTGTAGTTTTATTGTGGTAGGAAGAATTCTAAGATGGCCTCCAATATTTCTCACAGCTTACATGCACACACCTTCTCCCAGTTATTCAGTTAAACACCAATCCATATACTGCCTTGGAGGGATATCCAAATGCAATTAAGTTTCCAAACCAGTTACCCTTAAGATAGGATTATGCAGGTGACTTGACCTAACCACATGAGCCCTTTAAAAGCAGCTAGTTTTCTCTGGCTGGTCTGGCTGGCAGCAGAGGTAATAGATAGAGAGATGTGTTCTGGTTGACCTGGAAGAAAGCAAATATTCATCCTGTAAATTGGAGATCCCATGTTAAGGAACAGCAGGCCAACTCTAGAAGCTGAAAGCAGTCCCACCCACAGCTAGAGAGACAACAAGGTCCTGAATCTTATAACCACAAGGAAATGAGTTCTGCCAATAAATGAGCAGGGAAGGGGACCCCGAACCAAGATGAGAACTCAACCTGGATGACACCTTGATTTAGCCCCATCATTCTCTGAGCAGAGAACGCACACAACCTTTGCCAGACTTCTGAGTTTCAAAACTGTAAGCTAATAGTTGAGAGTCCTTTTAAGCCACTAAATTTGTGGTAATCTGTCACGCAGCAATAAAAAACTAATATGTTTGTAGTATACTTTCACAACCAATATATCAGAACTCCATCAATTCCTATTCCATCATATTATTTGTTCTCGTTAATCACACTTACAGTACTTTAAATTTTCTCAAAATTAAAAAAAAAGTTCTATTGCTCTTTCATGTTAAGTGTATGGATTACATTGGAGACAGATCTGAATAGTCCGGGAGGTTCATTGTCCCTTTTCTGTGGTGGCTAGACAGAAAGAGCAGCCTGGTGCCAGCCACTGCACTTCAGTGAGCTCCTCTTTCAAACCAGGCCACCCCCTCAACCACAAAGCCCATACTGTTACAAAATTGCCCTCCCAGAGCACACTGCTCATTAAGATTAGTGGGATCCATCAGTGATAAACTAGATAAAGAAAACGTGGTACATATACCTCATGGAATACTATGCAGTCATAAAAAAGAAAAAGATTGTGTCCTTTGCAGGGACAAACATGGAGCTGGAGGCCATTATCCTTAGCAAACTAATGCAGGAACAGAAAACCAAATACTCCATGTTCTCACTAACAAGTGGGAGCTAAATGATGAGAACACACTGACACATAGAGGGGAACAACACACCCTGGGGCCTATCAGAGGGTGAAAGGTGGGAGGAGGGAGAGAAGCAAGAAAAATAACTAATGGATATCAGGCTTAATACCTGGGTGATTAAATAGTCTGTGCAACCAACCCTCATGAAACAAGCCAGTCATTTACACACACACACACACACATACACACACACACACACACACACACACACACAAAAAAAACCTATGTCCTGTCTACCTAGGACATTGCTGGGGTGCATCAGCAAGATCCTAAGTAATACCCAAATCGTCCTTACACATTGTTCCTGCATCTCCAAACCACCCTTGGTTCTCACACCCACTACTCAACTTCACACATCCAGGGCCCTTTGCATCAAGTCTTCTATTTGAAGACTATGATGTGTGTTGCTACTTCTAGTTGTTTATGTGTTTTCTGTCATGTTGTAGAAATATTTTTAAATAGGTCATTACTTGCCTTTAGCCTACCTCTGAGTACTATAGCTCTCAAAGCTATTATCAGTAAGTTAACTTTTTTTGTTTATACTTAATCTATGCTGGCGTAAAGAGAAGCTATTGGATCTATATATTGCTGGGGGGTTTTCTTCCAACAGGACACAGAGTGTTTACTGACCATTAAAGTGTAAGTGAATGAAAGAATAAAGCATTTATATTTTTAAACAGGACCAGTTAGCCAGAGAAGTCTTCAGAATCTGAAAGAATGACTCTAAAAAGATGTCATTCAGACTATCAGCATGTGACTGCTACCTATTATGCCTACTTCCAAGGCACATGTACATGCTACTGGGGAAGTAGATAAGAAAGAAAGAAAGAAAGAAAGAAAGAAAGAAAGAAAGAAAGAAAGAAAGAAAGAAAGAGAAAGAGAAGAGAAAGAAAGAGAGAGGGAAAAAAGAAGAAAAAGAAAGAAAGGAAGAAAGAGGAAGGAAGGAAGGGAGGGAGGGAAAGGAAAGAAAGGAAGGAAAGGAAAGAAAGAAAAAGAAAGAAAGAAGAAAGAAAGGAAAAGAAAGAGAAAGAAAGAAGAAAAAAGAAAGAAAGAAAAAAGAAAGGAAGAGAAAGAAAGAAAGAAAAAAGAGAAAGAAAGAAGAAAGAAAGAGAAAGAAAGAAAAAGAAAGAAAAAAGAAAGAAAGAAAGAAAGAGAAAGAAAGAAAAAGAAAGAAGGAAGGAAGGGAACGAAAGACAATTGCCCTTATCCCTTAACATCTCCTAAGAGTCAGGTCTGAGTATCTGAGGCTCAGGATTATGACCTGAAATATACCTTCTCATTTGCAATAGGGTTTGAGACCTCTTAATACTTTTAAAGCATCTCACAAGGCATCCTGGAAGTAATGTTGTCCATGGTTAGTCAATTATAAGTCAAATATATCTTTCCACTCCAAAGCCCCCCAAAATTAAAATTTCTCACTGCTCTCTGGGTCCATCTTTCCATTCAGTATTCCATTGATTCCCATTCTGCTTTCATCCTCAATTTTTCCATCATTTCCATAGGCTTTAGATGGGATAAAAATGTGAAGCCCCTATCTCTTGCAGTACCATAAGGGAGATTGCCTCTGTCCCAGCTCAGCAAAGATTTCAAGGCCCAGATTCAAAACAACAGATTGGCTTGCTAAGCAACAAAATTATTGCCTTGATTTGTAGGGGAATTTGCCTCGTGGTGCTCATATCATTACCGATATAAAAGGCAGTTCTGTGCTTCTCCAACCTGGCACGCATCTGACTCCACTGCCAAGATACAACCTCAGCTGTGCCTCTGTGATATGCATTGGAGACCATGGGAATCCATGTGCACCCTCCTGCAATCTTATCTCATGTAATCATCTCATGTAATCCTGTTCACGATGTATTCACTGCTTTCAGAGGATATCAAAGTGAAAGCACCTTAAATGACGACCTTATTATCATTTTTGTCCATCCCTGAACCCAAATCAGATTCTGGTTCTATTCTGGGCTTAGCTATGTCACCCTGACATCTATATCCTCAAACTTACTTTTATTCAATCCTCTTCCCACTTAATTTTTCAGCCACTTTTCCCCTCCCTTGAGTATTATATAACCCTAACTCTGGACAAAGTACCTTCTATTCAAAACTAATTCTTGATCATTTCCCTTGTCTCTCTTATCAGTAACTGACACTTGGCCCTGCATGTTCCCTGCTGTCCTCTCCTAAGGAATCCTTACCATCCAATTCCCTCCACCTTTGTAGAAAAAGTAGAGGGGACCAGCTTATTCCTAGAGTATATCTAGAATTGATTCATCACTGTTTTATCGACCATCCTTCATGTAAACTACAAACCATTCCTACTGGTTCAAAAAGAGTTCAGATAAAGACGTATTTTAGAATGCAGCTGATCAGGATATAAAAGTACATATATTTATTACAAACAATAACAAAATAGTTAACCATGATTAGATATGAAAACAAGAAAAACTATTTGGGCAGCAAACTCTTACTACTTTTAAAATGGTATGGCATCACCTAGAAATAGTAAGGTTTTTACATCATGTGTAGCTTATATATTAATCTGCATAAAGTTATTTATTGTAACTGTCTTCAGTAGAAATTATCTGTAGATTATATAATCATATAAAGTATAAAAATAAGTAAAATATTCCCTTCAATTTTCCTTACAACATATTATGGTTTAAAAATGCTTCAAAGAAAAGGCAAAATCCTTTAAAATCACTATAAATTTTAGGAAGACAAGTTGTAGTTCACTTGAAACAAATTTCATTGTATATTGTTAATATAGTCAGAAGTAAAAACATACAATAAGCCATGTTTTCTTTTATAGAATACTACAAAATTGAAGTTTTCTAATTAAACTCATAACATCTAAATGCCATCTACAGTTAAATTTTGCCTAATATGTTTGAAACACTAAGTGAAAAGATAAACTTTTAAAAATCTTTAATATATTATCATTGTAGAACTTGCATTACAATGTTAAATGAGATTATTTAAAATATGGATTGTACATTCTTCTAATTTTCATTGAAACAGATTTAATCTTGACAGGTGAGTTGTTTTTGGTCCACGTGCCCCATTGAATTCCAGTTGCAAGCAATTTTCCAGAGAAGTGATGAATGCCATTTAGATTTGCTAGACCACACTCGTTAAACCACCAGCCGGTCTTGTTATGGAGGTGACTGCAGCTCTTCACAGACTGACCATTGACCAGGCATGCAGGGCGACACCCATCATTATCAACATCTGATGTGCTAAAAGGCATTGCATTTTGATTATCTTCTTTTTTGAGACCCCGGAATGCATCACCTGGGAAAAAAATTTTTAATGATCGAATTTAAAGGAAATTTCTATTATTTTAATTAATCATTACCAGCATATTAGGCAAGAGCACCACATCTGGAAATAGGGTTTAAATTATTTTCCTACTGTTTATCATGTTAAAATTCTCCTACTCGAAGATTCAACATGCCACAATCTGGTGATGAGTTCCCCAACACAACAGACATCTTTAAATAAATATTTGATATAAAAGTCACAGTCCAAAATGGAGTTTTGCTGTGTAGACAAAACCAGATAATTTAGGCCAAAAATTATAGCATACAGAGCTGTCATAATTTGGACAGACCAATATGATAATTGATAATTTAGGAAAAAAATTAATTTACACAGGGTAGGTTTCCTTACCACTACCATTTATGTCACTTTAGCTAGAGAAACTTTTACCTTTAAGAAATTTAGATTTACAGTTACAGAAGTTGGGGTTTTTTTCTAGGGGCCATCAACTTTATACAGAATACCAAATGCCCTCAAGAAAAATTCAGATATACTGTTGAGGTGTACCTTTTCTTCACGGCTCTTCACATGATTTATGGACCAATTGGATAGTAGTTAAGACAATACCGTTTTTAAAGGGCTTCTACTGAACATTGTTTTATTTTGTTTTGTTTTGTTTTTAAGACAGAGTTTTGCTCTTGTCCCCCCAGTCTGGAGTGGAATTGCATGATCTCGGCTCACTGCAACCTTCACCTCCCAGGGTCAAGCGATTCTCCTGCCTCAGCCTCCCAAGTAGCTGGCATTACAGGCACACACCACCACACCCAGCTAATTTTTGTATTTTTAGTAGAGATGGGATTTCACCATGTTGGCCAGGTTGGTCTTGACCTCCTGACCTCAAGTGATCCACCCACCTCGGCCTCCCAAAGTGCTAGGATTACAGGCGTGATCCACTGCTTCTGGCCTGAACATTGTATGTATGGTATCCCTCGTATTTACAATAACCCTGCAATGATTAAGTATCTTGTCCAAGATGACCCAGTTAACTCAGTGGCAGGAGCAGGAGTCATATTTTGTTTCATAAAATTCCATAAAGTTAAAGATTCTAAGTAAACCCATAATGCCTCCATTTCACCTATATGTAAGCTTTGGCTAATGTTTGAAACACTAATTTAAAAAAGAAGCCATATGCAATCTGTGGAGAAACCAAGCTCTATGTTTGTTTCATTATTTCTGAAAGTTTGGCATCTCTTGAGATAAATCTTTTGAAAGAGCCTGAAGAACTTCATTAGCAGTGGTGGCCTATCCTATACCCCAGTTCTGCTGATTATTAAAGTCTCTGACTCTGCACTTCATGGGAAACAAAACACACACATTGTAGGTATTTTCAGAGAATATATAATCTCCAACACCCACACAGTGTGATACTTTTCCAAAGTTCCAGTGAGAGACAATACCCATGGAGCATTGCCTAAACAATGTGATCACTCCATGGATACTCTCCCTAGATAAAGTCCGACCACCAGAAGGATCATATAGCACATAAGCTCCTCAAGAGATTTTATTTAATTCATTTAAAAAATATATGCATAGGCTTATTTCCTTAAAAATAGCCTATTATAATATAGCCATCATGTTTTCTGTGAGAGTGTGGTTGGAGAACATAACACTTTTCTTTTCCCTAAGAATCCAGAGACATTTATCTCAAGTCTTATAATCAGGAATAGTTGGGATTCTCGTGGAACAAGTGTGTTGCTCAAATATTCAAATTCATATCTCTGTTTTTGCTCCAAGCTCAAAGCCAAATTTGTGACCTGCCTTTACCAAACACCTGATCACATTTAACCCATTGGTTTTATCTGTATTTCTATCATTACATTCTGCTGACACCTTTTTCTTTTATTCTTTTGATTACATTATGTGATCAACAGTTGAAAGTTACTTCATAACCTTGTTGGGAAAATGTAGAGTACAGTATGGCAAAATTTGAGACTTTTGTAACGAAAAAACTTTTGCCATTATCAATATTATCCTTTAATTAGATCCTAGTCATCTTTCAGAGAATCCCCACATAAACTTTTCCTAATATAGTATATTCCACCTTTAGATAGTTCTTTGCACTTTTAGAGAGCAAGCATTGAAAATCATATATTGTAACTTTTTAAACTTTTCCCTATAGATCATGATTGGAATTTCAGACTTTCACCTAATATCACAAGTGTAAACCCCTCAGGTATCATAGATTCCAACCATGTCAGACAACTCTCTGTGACCTATAATTTTCCTCCCTCTATGCCTTAACTTAAGCTGCTCTGTTTGTCAGCCTTCATTTGCTAAAAGCCTAACCATTCTTCCAAGACTAGATCAGTGGTTCTCAACTACAAGTATGCCAACATATCCATCTGGCTTAAAATAACTGAATCAGATTCTACAGGAATATATACTTCTAAAAAGCTTCCCATGTTGAATCTAACATTAACAGCTTGTTAAAAATTGCTTTTCCATGAATATTTTTTGGGTGCAATCAACTGAAATCATTCTCACCCTCTTTCTGACCCCAAAAGTTCTATCAGTATTCTGTATTTCCAGTGTTACTTATCTTCCCCTTTATATTGGGAGCAGTTAAAGACCTGGGAACATATATCATTTATTTTTTGATTTCTAACACTAAATATACATAATGAACAAGTACCACAAACAGCAACAAGGGAGTTGAATTTAGTGCTTTTTAACTCAAATGCCTTTACATTTTCAGCATTAAAATGCAAGTTTAACATCAAGTATTTTGAAGTTCTGACAAATTAAATTTATTTGGAAATGAGCAGATGCATCAAAGTATAATGAAAAAACACTAAACTTGTTGTTCTGTCAGCCTGGATTCTTGCCTTGGCTCAGGTGACGTGATCTGGGAACGTTGGGCAAGTCACTTTATCACTCAGGTTTTTTCACCTGTAAAGTGAGATGACTAGAGATCATCTCTAACAGTCTGTCACTTCTAAATGTCAGCCTCTCTGAACATGAAAATGAAAATGCCTTCACAGCCTACTCCACAGGCTCTCTATCCAAAGAATCAACTGAGATTACATAAGGCAAATTGTTTTAGAGACTATAAAGCACTTCAGAAGCATGAGGTAGTACAATGATCATAACAAAGTTTCAAAACTCAAGACTTGGCCAGCTTTCTTATTCCTAATCTATCCTGTTATCAGTTATGTGTTATATACAAAGACAAATGCATTATTTTTATCTTCACTTAATAATGAGTCAGTTATAATTTAGATCTGGATAATTTTAGGAATAAAAAAAATCTTACCAGCATTTCCTGAATACCGTCCTAAGTGCATTTTAAAAAATCTCGTTTCATCCTCTAGCCAAAAATTATCATATGATGCATAAGCAAGAGTGTCATCTTCAGATTCCAAAGCCACATACAGCATAAAACTGGTATTTTTCTGATTTACTATATAAAAAATCTTTTTCAGTCCTAGCCAAAATTCTCCTGTAAAAAAAATGCTTTGTTTTAATATATTTTAATACAAATTAGAATAATGGTTTATTATTGAATGTTTGGTCTTGTTTAGCATTTCAAAAACTCTGAGATGGCTCAGATAAGTAATTAAAGGCACTGGATGACCTAGCTCAAATTATCAGTGCTTACCTACTTCATAAAACAAACAAAATTCCTACTTCTACTTCACCAGACTTGAGAAAATCAGACCCTTTTTCATTTTTATCTCCCCAAATTAAGTAAAATTTGAGGAGAGAAGATAATAATGATCTCCCCAAATTTTATCTCCCAAAATTAAATTAGTCTTCATTTAAAGAATAAAATAGAAAGTCAAATTTTACCTTAAGGCATTTCAACATAAAACCAATTGAAATATTATGGCAGGTAACAAAACGTTATTTACCAGTAAATGAGAAGGTTTAACCTCCAAATCAGCGGTTCCTGAAGAAAAATTTCCTAAAAACACTCAGTTGAAATTATTTTTTTCTGTCTTGGAATACTTTCTTAACAGACACTTCTTTGCTACAATGCAGCTGGTTAATTTCCTATGCCCTGAACATAATGTAATAACATTGGAATATCCCCGGGTTTAGGATCAATATTTCCAAGACAATTATAGATTCAGGATGAAATATAAAACTCCCCAACTCGGACTGCATACTTCTTGCATACATATTCTAGCCAATGGCTTTCTACCTCTCCCTACCCACGTGGCATAGCCCAAATGTGTATATCTCTGCTCTGAGATATATGCCTCTACTTGAATCATAAAATTATTAAAGAAAATAAGGGTCCAGTCAAAACAAACTTCAGAGTTGGAGAATAACATGACAGCATTCAAACTCTTCAAATTATAGCTAAGATATTAAGTCTTTCTTCAGAGCTCACAGGGGCAGACATTTTAGCAACACGCTCACTTACAATCGAAAAGTAAGGAGAGAAAGTGGGCCCAGTAAAATGGCTCCAGAGGGGTCCACTGAGTCTCACACAGTATACAACACTTCAATTTAAGTGCCCCTGCCATCATTTCCCAGTACCCCACCCTCAAATTTAAGACTTAAAAATACATTTTCTGTAATCCTATATTTATTTATTTATTTATTTATTTATTTATTTATTTATTTATTTATTGAGAGTCTAACTCTGTCACCCAGGCTACGGTGCAGTAGTGCGATCTCGGCTCACTGCAACTTCCGCCTCCCCCCAGTTCAAGCGATTCTCATGCCTCAGCCTCCCAAGTAGCTGGGATTACAGAGGCATGCACCACCACCCCCAGCTAATTTTTGTGTTTATTTTTTATTATACTTAAGTTCTGGGACACATGTGCAAAATGTGCAGGTTTGTTACACAGATATACATGTGGCATGGTGATTCGCTGCACCCATGAACTCGTTATCTACATTAGGTATTTCTTCTAATGCTATCCCTCCTCTAGCCCCCACCCCCTGACAGGCTCCTGTGTGTGATGTTCCCCTCCTTGTGTCCATGTGTTCTCATTGTTCAACTCCTACTTATGAGTGAGAATATGCAGTGTTTGGTTTTCTGTTCCTGTGTTAGTTTGCTGAGAATGACGGTTTCTAGCTTCATCCATGTCCCTGCAAAGGACATGAACTCATTCTTTTTATGGCTGCATAGTATTCCATGGTGTATATGTGCCACATTTTCCTTATCCAGTCTATCATTGATGGGCATTTGGGTTGGTGCCAAGTCTTTGCTGTTGTGAATAGTGCTGCAATACACGTACATGTACATGTGTCTTTATAGTAGAATGATTTATAATCCTTTGGGTATATACCCAGTAATGGGATTGCTGGGTCAAATGGTATTTCTAGTTCTAGATCCTTGAGGAATCACCACACTGTCTTCAACAATGGTTGAACTAATTTACACTCCCACCAACAGTGTAAAAGCGTTCCTATTTCTCCACATCCTCTCCAGCATCTGTTGTTTCCTGACTTTTTACTTATCACCATTCTAACTGGTGTGAGATGGTATCTCCTTGTGGTTTTGATTTGCATTTCTCTAATGACCAGTGATGACAAGCTTTTTTTCATATGTGGTTGGCCGCTTAAATGTCGTCTTTTGAAAAGTGTCTGTTCATATCCTTTGCCCACTTTTTGATGGGCTTGTTTGTTTTTTTCTTGTAAATTTGTTTAAGTTATTTGTAGATTCTGGATATTAGCCCTTTGCCAGAAGGATAGATTGCGAAAATTTTCTCCCACTCTGCAGGTTGCCTATTCACTCTGATGATAGTTTCTTTTGCTGTGCAGGAGCTCTTTAGTTTAATCAGATCCCATTTGTCAATTTTGGCTTTTGTTCAAATTGCTTTTGTTGTTTCAGTCATGAAGTCTTTGCCCATGCCTATGTCCTGAATGGAATTGCCTAGGTTTTCTTCTAGGGATTTTATGGTTTTAGGTCTTACGTTTAAATCTTTAATCTATCTTGAATTAATTTTTGTATAAGGTAAAAGAAAGGGATCCAGTTTCAGTTTTCCGCATATGGCTAGCCAGTTTTCCCAGCACCATTTATTAAAAAGGGAATCCTTTCCCCATTGCTTTTTTTGTCAGGTTTGTCAAAGATCAGATGGTTGTAGATTTGTGGTGTTATTTCTGAGGCCTCTGTTCTATTCCATTGGTCCATATATCTGTTTTGGTACCAGTATCAAGCTGTTTTGGTTACTGTAGCCTTGTAGTATAGTTTGAAGTCAGGTAGCATGATGCCTCCAGCTTTGTTCTTTTTGCTTAGGATTGTCTTGACTATACAGGCTCTTTTTTGGTTCCATATGGAATTTAAAGTAGTTTTTTCTAATTATGTGAAGAAAGTCAATGGTAGCTTGATGGGAATAGCATTGAATCTATAAATTACTCTGGGCAGGCACAGTGGCTCATGTCTGTAATCCCAGCACTTTGGGAGGCCGAGGCAGGTGGATCACCTGAGGTCAGAAGTTCAAGATCAGCCTGATCAACATGGTGAAACCCCATCTCTATTAAATTACAAAAATTAGCTGGGCATGGAGGCAGGCACCTGTAATCCCAACTACTCGGGAGGCTGAGGCAGGAGAATCGCTTGAACCCAGCAGGCAGAGGTTGCAGTGAGCCAAGATCACGCCATTGCTCTCCAGCCTGGGCAACACGAGTGAAACTTCGTCTCAAAAAAAAAAATTACTTTGGGCAGTATGGCCATTTTCATGATACTGATTCTTCCTATTTATGAGCATGGCATGTTTTTCCATTTGTTTGTGTCCTCTCTTATTTCCTTGAGCAGTGGTTTGTAGTTCTTGAAGAGGTCCTTCACATACCTTGTAAGTTGGATTCCTAGGTATTGTATTCTGTTTGTAGCAATTGTGAATGGGAGTTGACTCATGATTTGGCTCTCTGTTATTGGTGTATAGGAATTCTTATGATTTTTACACATTGATGTTGTGTCCTGAGACTTTGCTGAAGTTGCTTATCAGTTTAAGGAACTTTGAGACTGAGGCAATGGGGTTTTCAAAATATACAATCATGTCATCTGCAAACAGAGACAATTTGACTTCCTCTTTTCCTAATTGAATACCCTTTATTTATTTCTCTTGCCTGATTGCCCTGGCCAGAACTTCCAATACTATGTTGAATAGGAGTGGTGAGAGAGGGCATCCTTGTCTTGTGCTGTTTTTCAAAGGGAATGCTTCCAGCTTTTGCCCATTCAATATGATATTGGCTGTGGGTTTGTCATAAATAGCTCTTACTATTTTAAGATACGTTCTATCAATACCTAGTTTATTGAGAGTTTTTAACATGAAGGAGTGTTGAATTTATCAAAGGGCTTTTCTGCGTTTATTGAGATAATCATGTAATTTTCGTCATTGGTTCTGTTTATATGATGGATTATGTTTATTGATTTGCATATGTTGAACCAGCCTTGCATCCCAGGGATGAAGCCAACTTGATCATGGTGGATAAGCTTTTTAATGTGCTGCTGGATTCAGTTTTCCAGTATTTTATTGAGGATTTTCGCATCAATGTTCATCAGGGATATTGGCCTGAAATTTTCTTTTTTTGTTGTGTCTCTGCCAGGTTTTGGTATCAGGATGATTCTGTCCTCATAAAAAGAGTTACGGAGGAGTCCCTCTTTTTCCTACTGGTTGGAATAGTTTCAGAAAGAATGGCACCAGCTCTTCTTTGTACCTCTGGTAAAATTTGGCTGTGAATCCGTCTTTTGTGTTTTTATAGAGACATGGTTTCAACATGTTGGCCAGCCTGGTTTCAAACTCCTGGCCTCAAGCAATCCACCTGCCTTGGCCTCTCAAAGTGCTGGGGTTACAGGCGTGAGCCACTACACCCAGCCCCAAATTTGTTTCCAAAATACACCAGTACAAAGCAGTCTCAGTTTGTATGCAGTATACCTGCCTGAAGACCTGGTTAGTCAAAACTCATATTCTTTCCCCATAGAAATAAATTTGAAGTAAGGAAGATGGCAAAGCCTGCATATGGATCTATAACTACCTAATTCAAGAAGAAGCACTCAATGGAAAAATCAGAAGTAATGCTGAGAAAATGCAAGTAAATTCACTATACTCCAGAGCATGGCAGTTACCTGGGTATAAGCCAAATTGCTTCTAAAATCACTGGCATTCAGTAGCATTTTTAGCACTAGGACTGACACCACCACTTACCAAATCCTTGGATGACATTATTATGAGAGATTAAAGATTTACAATTATAAAAACAGTAACTGTTAAAATAGCATAAAAATTAGTAAACTCACTGGCAGAAGTTCCAATTAATGTAAAATTCTGCAAAGTTCAGAAATATTGGTGTTTCTGTTTACCAGCAAATGTGATGGTGCCATGTGGCAATAATGTAAACAGATTTTACATTGACCTGAGGTTATAATTTTCAAATTTTGAGCATAATGATGTTTACTGACATTTTAATAATATGCTCAGTTTAAATAATTTGGGTTTGCACAGACACATACCTCAATTCGCCATTTCATTGGCTTGTATAGATACAACACACCTCTCAAGAATTTTAAGATCTAGGACAACGCTGCCATTCAGTTTTTCGTTCTGCAAACCGTTGGTGAGCACCTGCCAGAATTCTGCTGGGTGCATAATAGATACTTAATACATATCCAATCTAGAATTTTCACTCAAATCACATTTCACCAGATATCTACAAATAAAGATTTCCAGATCTCCACTGAAGACCTACTTATTTTAAATAATCTGGCATATGAAAAGAGGGTGATTTAAGTTATATTTTGATATTTGCAAGCATTTGCTATTTTTACTACAGATCTGACCAATAGAGGCTCTATAGATATAATATCAAAAAGAGTAAACAATGTAGAGTAGAAATACAAAAAAATTAACCTAGAAGATCTCCAAATCCATCCAGATAATCACACCACAACCTCTGGAAATCAATTATCCCATCAATTCTTTTCTGTATCACAGTCCGTCCACCTCCTCTGTAATCCATGTCACACATTACCTAAAATAAGCACAGAGAAGACCAAAATAATACACTATTATTTTCATTATTTGATAATATAACACTCATGCTTCATCCTTAGGCTTAGAAAAAGAGACGGTACTGCCACTGAGTTTTCAATGCAATCATATGCCATTAATTTATTCAGATGTTTTTTATATTTCTAGAAATAATACTGTTTATTATAAAGCAAACCTGTAATTAACCTAAATAATACTGTTTATTATCAAACAAATTTGTAATTAACTTAATCACAGTCCTTATAACAATCATTTTTAAAAATATGTATTTGCAGCTTTTTTTTCCCCCCTTTTTTTTTGAGACAGAATCTCCCTCTGTCGCCCAGGCTGGAGTGCAGTGGCGCGATCCCGGCTCACTGCAAGCTCCGCCTCCCGGGTTCACGCCATTCTCCCGCCTCAGCCTCCCGAGTAGCTGGGACTACAGGCGCCCGCTAGCACCCCCGGCTTTTTTTTTTTTTTTTTTTTTCTTTTGTATTTTTGTATGTTTTAGTAGAGACGGGGTTTCGCTGTGTTAGCCAGGATGGTCTCGATCTCCTGACCTCGTGATCCTCCCGCCTCCGCCTCCCAGAGTGCTGAGATTACAGGCGTGAGCCACCGCGCCTGGCCGTATTTGCAGCATTTTAAAGTTATCCTCTTATTACTCAACTTTATAAATATTCTTCAGTTTGTATAACAGTATTGCTCTGATGTGGCAGAGCAATGTATTTCTCTATAAACTAAATTTTGAATTAAAACACTGGGGGTGGGGGGGTGTGTGTGCACGGCTAAATATTTCACGTGCTTGTCTTTGCTCTTTTCTCCCACAAACCTGGAAGGCCTGTTTTCAGACTGGCATTTTCAGAGAAAGGCATGATCTGTGCCCACTCAGCAGGTGCTCATAGACACATCTGTTGATGCTGTGTAAAATGCCCCTAAAAGGACCTCTGTAGGGCACCCATAGAAGCGATATAGGGAAGAAATCAGAGCAAAATTCTCCCTCAGAAACTTCCCGCATAGAGACAGAGAAAAGGCAGTGTGGAGGAAGTTAAGGAACCAGCACTTTCCCACAAAAGAGGTGATTATGCATCCCACTCTTCATAAAATTAGAAGCCTTCCTTTTCCACATCTGTTCAGATCCAGTTTTGAATCTGTAGGTGAAGTAACTTAGGTAATTTTAAAATTATTTCCCACCTAATTTCCAATTTTTTGACATCTTGTCAATAGATTCCAAATAAAATAATGGTAGTAACTCTAAGAAGAGAAACCGGTAGTATTTACTTAGAAAAAAAGTGACTTTATTATCCAATAAAGACTATCAATAAGGTATAAGTATCATAAACTTTCTTCTGCACAAAGAAGTGCCCAGGAAAATATATATATAATATATATAACTGTATGTGTGTGTGCGTGTGTATATATACACACACACATATATATTCCATCAATATGCATAGTCTCTAGTAGAAATTTCTACTAGATATCCTTGCAGAGAACTACTAAGAATAGACATAAGAGTAATTTATTTTATCAATTTCAGAATGAATCAGCTTTTCAGTCTGCCTTGTACCCCACTGAAAGGTTTTTTAATTATTAATTTCTCATACAATCACATAAAATCATCTATCATCAGAAGAAATTATAACCATATACAGGAAGGGAAGTCAAAAGTATTTTTAGTAAGCTCCAAGGCAAAGCACACCATTATTTTCCAATATCCACAGGCTAATTAAAGCAAGCAAGTATTTATATTGCATAGTTCTGCCTGCTATAGTTCTGCCTGTTACGAGGATAATACAAGCTTTTGCATCACATGGATTTACTTTAAAGAGTATAACCATGGAAACTCAAATAGAAAAGTGAAAGACAGACTCTAGCTCTTTTATTAATTCATGTTTTGGGCATTAGAATTCTAAAAAACCAAAATTTTGAAAGTAGAACTTTACCTAATTTATTTAAAATTTTTTGAGGAAAAATTAAATATTAAAACAATTTAAATTTTAACATAAATTAAATTGGTTGGATGTTTATCTTAGCCCACATAATACGGGAAAACTTCAAATACGGGAAATACCTCAAATGGGTAGCTAGATCCTTCTGGGTGAATTATGTATAAACCACTCGGTGTTTTGGTGACAGAGCCAATGGTATCCTTAATATCAGTGCAATCTAAACCTAGAAAAGCAAAATTATTTAATTGGGATATTTTCAAATGTACATTTAAGGCAATCATTTTACTATAGAGAATTGATAGTGCTATTATCATAATTTTCATTATTATATTATTTTAACTTCTTCAAAATGAAAAATGGTCACAATTTTAGAAATAAAAAGAAAATATAAGGGATTAAAGAATTTATGCTGCAATAAGCCTTCACTTATAATGTCACTGTTAGTGATTAGTTTCCTATACTATTTAAAAGTTTCATTTGGGATCAACACTTATTAAACATATTTTATAATTACACATTCTCTTTACCAATAAATAATGCCATTTCAGAAATTTAGGTTTATCTTAGAGAATGTAATGTGTAAAGGAAATCTACATGAATAGGGAGGAGAAAACCAAAAGGAATAAGTAGATTAACCACTACAGACACATATTTCACTATTCTATTCCCAACTTCAGAGACTGATGTGTTTGGGACCACTAATACAAGTAGCCAAAGGAAGAAAGGGGAAAATCACTTTCTTCCCCAAGAAATTATGCCTGATGTTAGAGCCTACTCTGTTAACAACAGTTAGAATTATAGCACCCCATAATCACCTTCTCCAAAGCACTCATCTCCCCAGGATTGTAAACACGTGTATGTGGATATGGATATTACATTTTCTGGAAGATACTCTACTCTGTAGCATCTTTTATAAGTGAAATAAATTCAACCCTTAGAGCGTCCATTATCCAAATGCCCATCTTAACATCCTAGTTCTACTCCTAACACTTTACTTCATAGTGTTATCCTAACTATTTACGTAGTAAGGTATTACATAAAGCCTTTACCATAGTGCCCAGCACACCCAAATAATGAAGAAAATGCCATCTACAAAAAGTTAGCTATAAAAAGTCACTTGTTTTCCCCTTCGTCTCTGGGAGACATAGATTTGTTGTTGCCTGTATCCTTAATTGTTAAGAGATATTCTTATAATGACTTTATGCTCAGAGACATGAAAGAAGTTCACGCTGAAGGACCGATCTGGGTTGGAGTGTCTGCTATGTCATTACCTTTCAAATTAATGTGAACAGATTATTTCGATTTTTCTGGGCTGGATATTTCTTATCTGATGATGATGATCATAGCAAGCAAGCCCTTATATTGTTCTGCCTGTGATTCGGGCATTTTTTTTATTTCCTTGTGATAAACATTTGATTCGGGCAATATTTTAAGAGACTTTCCTGTATTTATTCACTTAATCCTCACATCAACTGTAAGAGGTAGGTACTATCAGTTTACTGATGAGAAAACATATCAAGAGAGCAGCAAGCAAGAAATTTGAAACCAAGGAGTCTGACATCAGAGTCCATGCTCCTGACTACCACATTATGCCTGCTTTGGGGCAGTTATGAGATATAATAAAATAATTTTAATAACAAAATAATGTGAGAAAGTGCCTGTCTTCCTACCTATCACATAGAAGATTTTTAGGCACTGTTTATTGTCTTCTTTTTCGAAGAAGGACATAAAGATCATGTTCTAGGCCCTCAATAATATTTATTTGCTTTAAACATTTGGGGATAAATTCATATTTATAAGATTTATAGGGTATTTTTCTTAGAAGTCCAAACCTCTAGGAATTAATATGCTGTATTTTAGTATAAAAAGTGCTAACTTTCAGTTTATTCTTGTCTTACATTTCTTTTTCTTTTCAAATTTTATGCCCCAATTTGAAACATTTCAAACATGTCAAAAACATTTTTTACAGGTGGGAGGAACTTTGAAACTTTCTTTTCTTCTATCTGAAGATGAATTATTAATAAGATATAAACTGGGAGTCCAGAACAAAGCTATAGAAAGCTATGTTATTTTCAACAGCTTCAGGATATCTTTATACAGCCATGGCTTTCACATGGTTGAAAAAGTTTCCCATTTTAAGAAAGTACACGTTGTCTATGGTGAAATTTGCTTAATAGCAGGTATTAGCCCTCCAGTCTGTTAGAGAACGGTGAGCTGTAGTTTTTAAATAAAACTTTTAAATGGATCGACCTGTCCAGGAAAATTTTAAGCAATAAAAGACAAACATGAAAAGGCTGAAATACCAAAGTTCTCACCATGTGACTGAACAGGTCTGTGAGGAAAAGGATCCAGCTGTTTTCTAAAAACTTCTGTAGTCAAAAGGAGAACTCTATTCATGAGCTCGTTAACCTAAACACATGCATACACATTTAAGTAAATTTATATTTGAAGAAATTGCCATCTCTAAGCCTCTCATAAACCCAGCTCTGAAATACGTAATGGTGCCCATTTTTCTAGATTGATTTCTTACTGCTTTAACAAAGAATAAAGGCAAAGCTAAATAGCAATCATTAAATTTCGTAGTATCTACCTCCTTAACGTTGATTTTATCTGCCCCGATTTCTGCATTTGGCTGCTCTTGCACATCTGCCCTTCATACCTTGTCCAAACCATTGCTGTAGTTTCTTACCTCCTCCTTTGGCTCTTCCTCAAGTCATTGGCCACACAAGTTAATCAGATTGTGGCATTTCCTTGCTTAAACACTACAGTGGCTCCTTGGTGTGGTATGACTTCGTTCTTGCCTATTCCTATAGTCAGTTTTCCTTAAATACTCAACCTCACCAGCCACTCCACCCTGTACCAACACCAAGAAGTTTCCCCAGAATGGAATGTCCTCTTCGCCTTACCCAACCTTTATGATTTTTAAAACATTTATTCATCCTTCATGACTGTTAACAGACTTTCTCCTCTGGGAAGCTTTTTGTATCTGAGAGTTCTCTTTTGTGCCATTCTAGCAACCACATTTTTGTCAACACATTTTAATGCTCCACTAGACCATACCCCTTGAATTAAGTTCGATTTTTTTACTGCTTTTTGTTTGCCTAAAGTTTACTATGGTGCCTCTAACATGGTAGGCGCTAAATAGATGTCTGAACATGAATGCATTTTAAAAAAAGATTATACCTCCAGCTAACTATACATCAACGTGTACATGCAATAACAACACAATACTAAAACATCTATACCTGATTAGATAAATAATCCAAGGAAGCTTGTTGCTCATCCATCATATTCCTTAGTAGTTTTTTGGTACTTCTTGTGTAGGAAACAATAGAATTTTGCAAATTTCCTTAACCATAATAAAAAGTGGCTGTTAAATATTATATTGTTACAGAAAACAATTACAGTGAAAAATAGTGAATTTTACCTGATTTTGGATATGTATGTTAACTCAATACTATCTCAATTTATCTTAATACTCAGAATTACATATTTTAGTTAGTATATCTTTTGTTTAACTCAGGATTAACCCCAGAAATGATTGTCTCAATACTTCTTAATGAAACTATGCTTCCTACTAATATAGATTACCCAGAATAATTAATCTGTTATCATTAAGAGACAGTGTTCTGATTATAAATTCTCACTTTATAAGATGAGATATATAGAGGCAGGAGTTATAGGATTCATCAATTCTTACTGTAAAAGAAAGTTAGTGGTGACAGTTTTATACCAGGCAAGTTAATTTTAAAAAGTACATCTTTGTTTTAATTTTTCTATTAATACTATATTTACACAATTAAATTGCTAGCACATACATATACATACACATAATAAATGTTAGTCAAAGGTTTTGGTTATTTGGTTTCTGACTAAACATTTACTATACATTTTCCTTTTAAAAATGTTTTTATCTTAAGAGAAAATTTCTTATAGCGAAGTTGCGATAACAGTACAAATAACTTTTTCCTAATGCCTTTGAGACCATGTTGCCATGATGTACCGTCATGCTATTTCAGTGTATATTTCTTACACCAAAGACATTTCTAATAACATACCACCAAAATTAGGAAATAAACATTCACTACCTATATTTCTCAGACCCTATGTGAGTTTTACCCAAGATAGTAATAATGTTGCCCCCTATAACAAAAGGGCCCACACACTATTACGTATGTTATTCTTTAAAATTTTATTTTCTAACTTTCTTTCCACCAGCAGTAGAATCACATTAAAAAATCTTGATATTTTTAATTCTACCTCACTCTGCTTCCTCTCTCTTTCTTATTTTCAGTCTGTCACTTTCTATTAGCTTTTTCCTGAATTTAGCCATCTGTCTTAATAGGTCTAAAGCTGCACTCATTGGTTTGAGAAGCCTGAGACCCTTTTGTTGCACACAGAATTAGCTACATAGAGAAAGGATCCATTCATTTACCAAATATTTATTAAGCACCTATTATGGGCCAAACAATAAAGCTTCTGGCCTAGGATGATCAGGATGTATAGAAAATGACCCAGACAAAAGCTAAAGTATACTTTTCAGTGTCTACCCTAAAAATAATGAATCATATACTCTTATTATTTTGTTTATTTTTAATACTTACTACACATGAAATGTTTTTCTTCTCGTGTAATTTTAGTTTTAACATCACATGATTCCTCACAGTCTTCCTTACAAACAGTATCATTACTTTTACTTTCATCTTTTGCATTAGATCCATCTTCTACAATGTTAACTACTGAAGAGTCCTTTATATTAAAAAATAGAAATAAGAAAAAAATACATTAAACATGTTATATGACCTAATACATAATAAAAAAGACTATAGAGAAAAGCTTAGATTTCAGGAAAGACAAGGCTGATCATTAGAGAGAAATATAAGCTATTTAATTCAAACTTCCACAAATAAACCTGATGAGTAAATAAAATCAAACGGACCAATTTCTTAATTTCCTGGGTAGCCACTCACAGGACAATATTTGAAATATGAAAGTTTGTGGAACAGCTTTTTTTTTAAGCAAAGTGATTTTTTACTACCTATCAGATATTTCATTGAAAAGTTGTGGGCTAGTTTTTAATCTAGGCCTGAAATGTCTTCAAAATATTTTCATATCTGTTGAATCAATCCTCAGTTTATAGTTTCCTCAGTTTAAATACAGTAATATTAAAGCAATTTTCAACATTTCTAAATACATGTTTTAATTGTTCCATAAATTATATTTGGTAGTTATGATTAATCTTTTCAAAATTCTAATATATATCTTGAAAGCTAATCATGCTTTCCTAGCTAATATAATATTGCTAAAATTCTTACCGTAGAATGATGTACACAGTTACCTTGTACAGCTTCTCCACAAATAAAAATACATACATTTAAGAATAAGAGTGAGGCTTGGGATGGAGACATCATATTTTTCTTGGATAGATGAAAACACTTCTTCAAATATCAGTCAGCTCTTTGTGGAAAGAACTACAGAGCATAGAGTCTTCAGTTAAAAACCTCTGGAAAGCGTACAACAAAAACATAAGCCAAAACTTACTAGTTTCCATGCCCTGGTTTGAAACAACACCCTTCATATGAAAAACAAAGTAGCCTCTGGAGATCCTGACATTTTAAATTGTACAATTCCTTTTTTATCACTTCATGTCTGTATTATAAATCCAAGCTTTTGCAATATAGGCAACAAATAGATAAATAAGTAAATAAATAAATAAATGACAGATGTAGACAGATAAATAAAGCATGAATTTATAAATTCATCTAATTTTTGTGAGTCAGCCTTTTCTTGCCTTGGGAAAAAAAATGGCTTTGATAAGCTATACATCAATAATTGCAAACTGCTTGCAAAAAAATAGGAAGTAGAAATGACTGATGGAGTGGGAAAAATATTACCTTGGAACTATTTCTATAAAATGCTAAGTAGAAATTTGATCGAGGTGGACATCCAGAGCAGATAATTCAGACTTAAAATATACTTTTAAAATGCCAAATCTCAACGCTGGGCGCAGTGGCTCACGCCTGTAATCCCAACACTTTGGGAGGCTGAGGTAGGTGGATCACCTGAGGTCAGGAGTTCAAGACCAGCCTGGTCAACATGGCGAAACCTCGTCTCTACTAAAAAATACAAAAATTAGCCGGGCGTTGTAGCAGGTGCCTGTAATCCCAGCTGCTAGGGAGGCTGAGGCAGGGAGAATCGCTTGAACCTGGGAGGCAGAGGTTGCAGTGAGCCGAGATCACGCCACTGCACTCCAGCCTGGGCGAAAGAGTGAGACTCCATCTCAAAAAAAAAAAAAAAAAAAATTGCAAATTTCTAAGACTGTAATTAATCTGTAATTAGTTGTAATCTAATTACAACTATTTTGTTAAAACTGTAAAAATTCTGAACATCAGAGAAATAATATTATTGAAAATGACCACTCTTTGAAGGTTGATAGATGAATGTCTTCAAATTTTCCCTTTCAATGTCTCCTTCCCTTCATTCTACACACATGCCTAAGTCTTCATTATTCTAAAATTAAGAGGCAAAGCAAAACTTTCCTGCATCTTCCTTCTGGTTCGAGACATTATTTTCTCCATCTCCTTTCCTAACCTGAGAACTGCCATAGTTTTTATGGTACTAGTACAATGACTGATACACAAGAGGCACTCAAATATTTTCTTAATGAAGAAACAGCTTAAAATAATTATCTGTTCTCTGACTTTCCTTCCTCACCACCTACTATTTAAACCCAAACAATCATATCTCTTATTTGTGGCAATCACTTTCTCAGAGTTTCTCCAGTGAGACAGTATGAGATGGTTGGGAGTGCCGGCTCCAAGACCAGATTGCCTGATTTAAAGATTAGTTTCAACACTCCCTTACCCTGGAATCTTGGACAAAGTTACTAATATTGCTATAGCTTGATTACCTCCTTTGTATTATGGAAATTGTTGTATGGATTAAAAGATATGTAACATTGCGGACAATATTGATGACTTTTATAATTTATATTAATAGGCAAATACACATATTGTAATCTTAAATTTCTAGTTGAAGTCTTACAAAATTCAAGTGAAAATGGCAGAACTTCAGCAGAAGTTGGCAGAACTTTAAATCAGCCAGATGTTAAAATTCTTTGTTCTTTCACATCTTGCCCAGAGACCAATTCAGGAAATTCTTATTTGAGCAAGAAAATACTTCAGTGGAAGATGGAAAAAAAAAAATAGCCTCAGCCAAGACAAAAGTGAAAGCACAAAAAAATTGTCCATCACAGCTGCCACATGGTTATAATACTTGTTAAATTAAATAAGCAGGAGGCCATTGCCTGAGGCTGTCTCTGTACTTTGAGTTCCTCTGTAGCAAACTGCAGCCTGACTTAGGAGTATATTTTTTGTAACAAATAGTGGAGTTTCAGCCAATCATAGGCAGCCAACTAATCAGAGTATACCCAAATAAGATAAACACCTAGCTGTAGGCAATCACATGATTCCTCTACTTTGTTTCTGTGTCCAACAAAATCTTGCTGCTCATGCTGCTGGGTGGAGCTCTCTGAACTTCTTGTTCTGGGTGCTGCCCAATTCGTAAATCATTCTTTGCTCAAATAAATTCTGTTTATTTTCTGTTCTAAAGATACTAAAAATAATATTCAGGCTGGGCGCGGTGGCTCACGCCTGTAATCCCAGCACTTTGGGAGGCTGAGGCGGGCGGATTACCTGAGGTTGGGAGTTTGAGGCCAGCCTGACCAACAAGGAGAAACCCTGTCTCTACTAAAAATACAAAATTAGCTGGGCGTGGTGGCGCATGCCTGTAATCCCAGCTACTCAGGAGCCTGAGGCAGGAGGATTGCTTGAACCCGGGAGGTAGAGGTTGTGGTGAGCCGAGATCATGCCATTGCACTCCAGCCTGAACAACAAGAGCAAAACTCCGTCTCAAAAAAAAAAAAAAATATATATATATATATATATATTCAAATTAGATAAGTTATGTGAATATGCTTTATAACCATAAAGTGGTTATTATTAGTTTCCTTTGTAAATAAAACATCAACGATTTATGAGACCACATTAATGAAATTGCATGTCTAATAGACATCTCACATTTAACATGTTTGAAGCCTAACTCGTATTCCTTATTCCACCCCTACCTATTCTTTCCCATCTTAGTAATGGCAACACACTTTATCCAATTGTTTGAGCCAAAAATCTGAGTCACATTTGACTTTTTTTCTCTCGCTTACTGCAACCATCCACCAACACATCTTATTGGCTCAAGGTTCAAACTGTAAACATTTCTTGCCACCTCCACTGCTACCATCCTAGTCCAAGTCTGCCATCTCTGGTAACCTTAAAACTGTCCTTATTGTTTCTGGTCTTATCTCCTACAACCTAGTTTTCCCCACAACAACTAGAGGGTCTCTTTAAAGGTTCAATAAAATTGTGTTACTCTTCTAATCAAAACTCTCAAATGGATTTCCCTCCATTGAAAGTTGGATTTTACATTAAGTCCTTGCATACAATACAAGTCGCCACTAAATCTGGGCCATGTACCTCTACAATCTCATATGTTAGCACACTTCCCTTATTATATGGTTTGGACCTGCATCCCTACCCAAATCTTTTTTTTTTTTTTTTTTTTTTTTTTTTTTTTTTTTTTTTTTTTTTTGAGACAGAGCCTTGCTCTGTCACCCAGGCTGGAATGCAATTGCACAATCTCGGCTCACTGCAACCTCTGCCTCCCAGTTTCAATCGATTCTCCTTCCTCCGCCTCCCAAGTAGCAGGGATTACAGGCGCTTGCCACCACGCCCAGTTAATTTTTGTGTTTTTAGTAGAGATGGGGTTTCACCATGTTGGCCAGGCTGGTCTCAAACTCCTGACTTCAGGTGATCCACCTGTCTTGGCCTCCCAAAGTGCTGGGATTACAGGCGTGAGCCACCATGCCAGGCCTCCCCGCCCAAATCTTACGTCAAACTGTAATCCCCAATGTTGGAGGTAGGGCCTGATGGAAGGTGATTGGATCATGGGGGCAGATATCCCCACTGATGCTGTTCTCACAATAGTAAGTGAGTTCTCATGAGATCCGGTCATTTTAAAAGTGTGTGGCACCTCCCCTCTCTCTTTCAGTCCTGCTCCTGCCATGTAAGATGCCTGCTCCCACTTTTCCTTCTACCATGAGTAAAAAGCTCCCTAAAGCCTCCCCAGAAGCAGATGCTGCCATGCTTTCTGTACAGCCTGCAGAACCATGAGCCAATAAAACCTCTTTTCTTTATAAATTACCGACTCTCAGGTGTTTCTTTATAGCAGTGCGAGAACTGCCTAATACACCCTACCTCACTCTATTCCAGCAACAGTGGTCTTGTGCTGTTCTTTGAGCACAACAGTATGATTCTGTCCTCACAGTCTTCTGTACTCACAGACCCCTGTGCCCTTATTCTTCATCCAGATATTTGAATGGCAACCTCTTTCCTTCATTCAGACCTCTGTCCTAATTTCCCTTCCTTTGGGGCCTTTCCTGAGCACCCTCTCACAGATAGAACTGACATTGGTCTCTATCCCCCTTCACTATCCCACTTTCCATGTAGCACTTTTCACTACCCTAATATGTTCTAGTGGGGAAGAAAAATAAATATAAGCTTCACGAACATAAGGACTTTGAAGTTTTATTCACTGTATCCCTAGCACCTGGAAAGTGCTTGGCACATAGTAGGTGCTCAATATATATTTCCTTAGCAAAAGAAGGAATTGTTTTATGGTTTTAAAGTGTGAAAGAATATAACATTGTATTTAATTCAGATGCCCCTTCTGATAAAAAATAGGGATTTTAGGGTAACATTCTTCTTTACTGCTTGAATCACAACTGCCTTTCCTGTCAAGAGATGAAGTTGATAAAATCCTCAAATTTTTTATTATCCAAATATCTAATCCTAAAGCCTTTTTCCATAAATAACACTGACAAAAAAGTCATGACAAAATCAAGCATCATGATGTTCAGAGCCCCTTGGGCCCTGCCTTTCTATAAGAATCTAGGATTCTACAACTTAAATAGAATGTGGAAAACCCACTTAATATTTTGAAGAAATAAAGAAAGAATTTAAAGGTCGAAAAAACCTATGATTAAAAAAACTGGCAACATTGTTTGAAATTTCTTTTCTTCTTGGTTGTTACCGTAAAACAATATTTGAATGAAGAATAATTATATAAGTCTAAACTGAAATAAAATCCTAAGCCCCCACTGACTGAATAGACCCCCTCTTGGCCAAGGGGACCCTGGGAAAACCTTAAAACTGAGTTCCCAGCCATAATGGGATGGAAGGTCAGCTATGCCTCATTATATCCTCTTCCTGTTGTAGTTTGGACACAATTGACCAGGATTAACGTTAAAGTAGAGATCATTAGACTGACGGAACAGACACTTGGTGGCAGTAAGATATCAAATTACAAATAGGACCTAAGGCCATGCCAGGCAAGGGTTAAGTCATGCACTCCTACACTTAAAGAATAAACTATGTTTAACTTCCACAAGTTTTCTGTTTTTCTCTAGCAGCTAAACAAACACTGGCCTTGAGATAAGCAATAGTAAAACAATCGTAGCTCACCACCAGACACTGACTAACTGACCCTCTGTTCCATAAGCCATAACTACAGCTTTGATTGGACAACAGACTGATTTCAATAACTTTCTCCTGATGAGAACATCACCAACCATGAGGTGGTTCTGGCCAGTTTAAGAGGACTGCTCACTTGAGTGCCTTTGTGTCCTAAAAAAAATTTAGACATAATAGGGCCTAATTGTAATGCAATTAAATGTTAAGTCTCCAGCCCAAAATGAACATGGGTCATATGTTACTGTTTGTTCAATATACATGCATCAGAACTACCTTCATAAATATTCATAGCTCCTCCTATATCCTATAAATTATGTATGTTTAGCCAACTTTTCAGCATAAATCTCCTACCTCAACATCCCTCCTTCAAAGTACCTGCCTCTTTAGGCTTCAGTTGGAGGCACACTCCCAGCTTGTGGGATGGCCCTCCTTTCAGGCTGTAACCCTTTCCTCTCCTTTCTAGATTCATAAATTACGTGTTTTTTTAAGTTAACGTAAGAAAGGATTTATAGGCAATTGAGAAACCAAATTATGCTTCTTAGTGCTAATATACCAAGCCACAAAGCAGTGAGATGCCTAGGACTTACGAGATCGCAAACTAATAATATAGCAAAAGCTGGACTTCTGGAAAGCTAACCATGCCTAAATATTCCAAATAGCAACTCTAATATTCTCATATTCATCTGTACTTTGCACTGCCCTACTTTACTCAGATCACCCATGGGGAGACAAACGTGTGATGACAGCAGTGGGAATAGAATCAAGGCCATTGCCTGTGGCTAGGCCAATTAAAAACTTGCCAAGATAGCCAAGTGTCCAGTTGTATACATTTAGCTTTTCATGTCAGAATTGTATATTTTATCCTGTTGGTATGCTTCTGAAGGAGAGTTCATGTGTTTTGTGTCTTAAATCGAAACTGGATTTGTTGTGGCACTTTAAAATCTGTCGCCAGTGTACATTCCAATTTGAGTCATTGCAACCAAGTTTGCAAAGATTGTTTTAAACAGTTTCAACTGGAAAAGTTTATTATTTGAAATCTTAAAATGAACAAATTAATTCACAAAGGCAGAGACATTTGAATGGTGGGTGAATAATCTTTATTTGGTCTGTACTTTCTGCTTCCAATCTGGGAATTTTTCCAAGAAAACACTGACTGAAATACAGTCAGAATTTATATATGCATTTACATTAGGCTCCAACAATAAGATTCAGCCTTTTTCAAAACTGTCACTTGCATAGCCAATAAACTAGTGTCTCAAAAATCCATTTAATTTTCCATACTTCCCAAAACCATTTCAATGCGATGATCTCTTTTGGCATATCTTCCCAAGAGATTGCTAGTTTTGCTGTGATGGTCCATTTCCAGAATCTGGCAGCAATGCGAGAACCATTAGGAGGCTTTGAAATGTAGACCTTCTAAGTAGGGCAAAGGCAAGGAAGACGACTGCAGAGGGAATGCCAGAAGCATTACCGAGTGGATGAGAGAATGCAGGGAAGGAAAATTTCCACTTCACAAAGACATTTTAAAGAGACGGTGTTTGGGGATGATGATGCCACAGAAAGACTCACAACTCAAAATCTCACAACAGGATTCAGTAGTTTAACAAATTCAACTCCAAATTGTCCCCCAGACAATCACTGCAGACTCCTCCCGGTGGCAATTGCCTGTATCTGAGGATTTTACATCTGTCTTTCGTCACTGTCGGTACTGCCACAAAAACACTCTCATAAAAAGGGAGGCAGAACTGCATCAGGCTCTAAAACAACACTCAGCTCACCCCTCGCGCAACAACCCGGGTCCCTAGGGATGCTTGGGTTGCCACCCGCCGCTCGAAGCTGGAGGGGCCGCCGGAGCCTGCGATTGGCTGCTTCGGGCACATCGTCCCGCCCCGACCTGTAGCTCCTCCCAGGTTTCCGTTGTCAAGGACGCGCCGTCGGTTGTTGTCAAGATGGCGGCTGCAGGGTTGCTGCCGCCCCATCTGCTATTGCCCGGCGAGGTCGCCGCTGCCTCAGCTGCCATCGCCGCTACAGGCACCAGTGCCGCTGCGCGGGAGCTAGGGCTGTCGAGGCCAACCCTTCCGCGCCCGTGACGCGGGGCCTGAGAGACGGAGTGTAGGGAGGGGCCGAGCAGGAGGAGGAGGAAGCCGGAGCTGCCATGAGGGAGGTTCTGGGGGCGAGCAGACAGGCGGCGCTGAAGTGAAGGATGCTGGCGGGGAGGCCCGGAACCCGGAGCGCGGTCGGGGAACTGGGCACTGAATCATCGGACAACCTCGACAGAGCCCCCCTCGGCCCTCGGGAGAGCGGCGGGCATCACCGACCTGGCTCTTACCTGTATCCTTCCCAGCCTGTGGCTGCCAGGGTAGCGATGTTGAAAACGGGGCCCATCTTTTTCCAATTAGATTCCCATTACCTTTGACGCAGGGTGATCAAAACTAGCAAGTCATCTTAGTGCAGATATTTCCTTTAGCAACTGTCGTGTCTCACCTTAGACCTGAAATTATACCATTTTATCTAATTCTGTGGCTGCTTCCCCCCATCACCCTGTTATCCTACTCCCATTCTTCAACTTTGTAAAATTTTTGTGAATTTTAAAACACATCAACTGTGTATTCTGTGGGGATATTTTTATGCCATTATGTTCTTTACTTACATATTAACTACTTCCTGATTTATCGTACTACTTGGAGAGAGAAATTACACAAATAAGTAAAATGTTTTGCTATCCTAAAGAGTCCGTTTTAACAGTTATCCTAACACAGCCCTAAATGCATTTACCAGAGCTGCTAAAGGCTACACAGTTTGGTAAGTTGTTTTGTTTTCCATCTCTGCCCAGTCTGTTGTCAGAGCGACAGAAAAGAGGAAATGAGAAACAGGGGACCTGGACGCTTTACAATCTGGATTAACTCTGACTTTTCTCGAAGAGTTGGTTAAGCCTACCTTTGATGTTGCTGTTGGTTGCATTGTAGAAAATGGAAAGAGGAGAAGTATTTTGTTATCAAAATCTGTAAATCAGGTTTATTCCTTTAGAGACTGTTGTGATGATTAGGATTTAACCTTTGTATTCCCAAAGGACTTGGTTGGCAATGATGGTGTTGTGTAATCATCTTCAGTCTTGTCAGAGATGAGTGTCTTCTCTTTCCAAGTTAACTCTGTTTTCTTATCCCCTTTGTCTCCAATTTCTAGGATGTTCTTTGTACTCTGTTACAATTTTAGCAGCAAGTCAACAATTTGTATTGAGTGCCTGCTCTTTGGCTGACTCTGTTCTAGGTTCTAGGGATACAAATCTAGTGAGGAAGACAAATGTGTATAGAGCTTCACTAAAAGTAAAATATCTCTTCTCCGATCATGCTTTCTGCAATCTTCCATCCCTTCAGTCTTTTCTTTCTTTGGGCAGGTTCTCAAAATGGTAGCTTGCAATAGCTGCTTCTAGTTCCTCTCATCTATTCATTATTAACCCCATTCAGTTTGGCTTTTGCCCTTGCTGCTCCCCAAAATTGCCCTCTTAAAGGTTACTCTGAAATGAACACAATCATTTTCTGTATGGATTTAATTCTGGCCTCTTGACATTATATTTTCTTGGACACAACTGCTATTACACGACCCTGATTTATCTCTAAATCAGAAAATAGGGAAGTATTGTAAATGGCTCATTGAGAGTGTATTTTCTGTTATTTTCATTAATAAAATGGTTGTAGGCCTCATTTTTTAAATTTTATGTGGTATAAATTTTTGATACAAATGCCAAAGAAAATATTCATAAATAGAATCCAGCAATACTTTGAATGAACACAACCAAATAGACTCTATTCCAGAATTAGAATGACATTTCCTATAAAGAAATACAACACTAAAAAAGATCCTTAAAGGCTAAATATATAGTTAAAATTAGGCAAGTTATAAATGAACATTTTAATAGATGACCAATAGACTTTGATAAAATCCAACAATGTGTGTGTGTGTGTGTGTGTGTGTGTGTGTGTGTGTGTGTGTGTGTGCTGGTTTATATATATTTTTGCTAGTTTGCATATGTGTGTATATATATGTTTAGATAATATATATTTAAATTGGAACAGAGGAATTATTTTTGAACATAATAAAGATTATAACACTAAATCAAGAACATTATGTTTGCTAGCTGGAAAAACACTAAAGTACCTTTTATATAAGTTTAATTGGAATGTTCTTTGTGTCTATAATGTTTCCCATTGGATACCTAGCACAGAGTAGGTGCTCAAATTTACATGACTAAATGAAAAAAAGGAAAGAAAGCAAATGAAAGGACCACAGCCTTAAAATAAGCAAGTATGTGGTAACATTTACATTTCAATTTCAAATATGAACATGATACTCAGAGGCCATCTGGCTTTCTGTTGAAGACATTTTCTCACTGGAGTCAGAATTTTCTGACTCTAAAGGTTATAAAACAACAAAACCTTATGAAGTTTATTTAATTAAAATTAGCTAAAGTTCTGTCATTTCAATCTCTTTTTCTCTTTTGAGAGTTCAAATAGAAATGGAATTTAAAAAAAAAAAAAAAAGGAAGGTCTCTCATGTCCCCTTATACCTGCCTTTTTTTCCTCATAAATATCTCTACCCTTCAACCCTCCCATTTTATCCTAGCACCCACCTTGCCTCTCCTTTCCTCTCCAGTTTATACCCTATTCTTAACTATTTGAACTTTCTCTCACCAACATCTTTGGCTATTTGTACCCCAATCATTCTGCCTCAGCCACTCAATAACTACTATAGTCCTGCTCCTTTACTCCTTCATGCGAATAATAAAAATGCTGTCAAAGAAAAATCACAAAACAATACAGATTGTACCACTAAAGATTGATGGTTTCCAGCTTCACCTAAACAGGAACAGGGTTCTTTCTTTTTCCTATGAATGCCTCTGCCAGGTCTCTGTCACCTTCCATCACACTCGATAGACTGTCTTACCACTTGATAAGACTTGGATGCCCTGACAGGTCTGTTCCAACAAACAGCACAAACACACACACTCCCACCCACCTGTCTTTTTTTCCCCCCAGGCTCACTGATGGGATCTTACTTTTACTATAGAAAGTGAAGTGAACCCATTCAGCTGGGCCCAGTGGCTCACATCTGTAATCCTAGCACTTTGGGAGGCCGAGGTAGGCAGATTGCTTGAGTCCAGGAGTTCGAAACCAGCCTGGGCAACGTGGTGAAACCATATCTCTACAAAAAATACAAAAATTAGCTGTGTGTTGTGGTGCATGCTTGTAGTACCATCTACTTAAGAGGCTGAGGCAGGAAGATTGCTTGAGACTGCGAGGTGGAGGTTGCAGTGAGCCGAGATTATGCCACTGCACTCCAGCCTAGGCAACAGAGTGAGACCCTGTCTATAAATAAATAAATAAATTGTATTTTGCTAATACATACATAATAAAACATAGTTTTGTACCTTGTGTTTCTAAAAGGTACTGCCCCATGCTCATGAGATTTTGAAACTTAGGTACATAATACATTTCTAATGGCATATACTTTTGTATAACCCCCTTAGGAGCCAAGTTTTCTATAATGCACTAAAAGATATAAAAATGCATATGCCTTTTGTCCTCATATCTACCCCAGAGAATTTTCTCCAAGGGAATAATTCAGGAGGTTTTTATTAAATCATTACTATATTCTAAGAACCATGCCAGGCGTGAGAGTTACAGAAATGTAGAGAAGACACTTATCATGTACTCATGAAGGTGTCATCAAGTCATCTAGTGGAGGTTAGAAAAGGCTTCAAGGTAGAACGAACTGCTTGAGATGGCCCTGAAAGGATGAGTAGAGTTAGCCAAGCATGTGCCAAGAGATAATGGTATGATACATCACGGGTTGTTCTGTTTATAATTATCTTAGTGCGTCTGGACATAGGATTCATACAGGGAAATGTTAAGAAATAAAGTTGAAAAAACAAACTATATTATAGAATGGTTTATATATAGGTCCAAGAACTTTGGAATTTTTCATGAAGGTGATAGGGAGCTTTTGGAGAACAACAAAGAGAAACACAATCAGATTTGCATTTAGCTGACTTTGTGTAGGTTCAAATAGAGGTTTAGAGTAAGAAGAATTAGAGGAGCACTGTAGTCGTCCAAGCAAGGGATTTAGAGTACCTGAGTTAAGGGAGAGGAAGAAGGTACAGTAGAGGAAAAATCGAATCAACATAGCTTTAATAGATTTGGGGAAAAAATGGGTTATATAATACATAGTTATTTGTGATGGCAACATTTTAAACAACCTAACTGGATAAAAGACTAAGTTGGGAGAGGAGAAGTGAGGATAGAGTGGGGTAGAATAAGCTATGCTTTAAAATCACATGTTACAATACATATTATTCTTGGTTTTGTTTTTTTAATGTTAAGTATATAAAAATTCCCTTCTTTTGGACAGGTATTTAGCAGTGTTTTTTTTATGGAACTCCTACCTTTACCATACAGCTTGTATAAAAAAACAAAATTTAACCAGCCATCTAATTTTTTTAAACTTGAATACCATATTTGAAATGATACAAAAGCAGCAGGATTCTTTATATTAATAATTAATAATTCAGCAGGAAACATACTATACTATTATACTTATATATAAAGAAAGTAGAAAATCATTTGGTTAAATTGAAGACTATATAGTTGTCAGAACATTACAAACATTACATTTGTGATTTTCTTTATGCTGTCGTGATGAGACTTCAAACATGTCAAACAGAGAACAGAACTGTCTCCTCCTTGCTTCTCACTTAAGCCAAAGCATCTTCCTCCCCTCAACCTCATGTTGGCCCTGTGCACCCTGAAAGGAAGTTGCACTTTTCTTTACTGCCGAGTTGTCACTTTTAATACCTAGACATCTTGTTGAAGTCTGGCTCTTGTTAAAATATTCTATCAGAGAAAAACAGTTTTTCTGTGCTAGCAAAGAACCAAATTTTCTTCCCTTTTGGTTTGATTTTTATAAATCCTTTAAAAGAAATCTTTAAGTAAAAATATGTTTGTGAGTGTGTTTGGGTCTTTGTCTTGAAGTAGTGTAAAATTTTATTTAAAATGAAGGTAAAATGAATTATGGCCTATGGTATAAAGATGGTTAAATAGCAACACAAAAGAAAACAAATAAGCCCCCATCAGCAAAGGTCTAAACAACAAAATGTTCAAATAAACCTGTTATTCTGAAATATGTAATAATAGAGTTTCTTTATAATATTGATGCTGAAGCACTATAGGATCCTGAAATTAACATGTTGAATTAACAAATTATGTACCGCATAGTTTATTATTGAGTGTATTTCTAGTATTCTGTTTTACCATTAATAATCAATTTATGAGATTTTTACAATCTTGATTAAATGCAGCCTTTAAAGAGAATTTTGGACCTCCATCTTAGCGTAAAAAGTTTTTAAACAAGCTGTTTGTTCTAAAAAAGACAAATAGATATGCCCTACAATCTATAACTTCAGTATAATCTCATATATTTCTACATCTAATGATGAGGTACTAAATGTGATTACACGGTAATTCAATGAACTTTTTTTTTTTTTTTTGAGACAGAGTCTCGCTGTGTTGCCCAGGCTGGAGTATAGTGGCGTGTTCTTAGCTCACTGCAGACTCAACCCCCTCCAAGCTCAAGCGATCTTCCCACATCAGCCTCCCAAGTAGCTGGGGCTGCAGGCATACACCACCACACCTGGCTGATTTTTGCATTTTTTGTAGAGCCGGGGTTTCACCATATTGCCCAGGCTCATCTCAAACTCCTGGGCTCAAGCAGTCTGCCCACCTTGGCCTCCCAAATTGTTGGGATTACAGGTGTGAGCCACTGCGCCCAGCCAAATGAACTTCTTTTAATTCAAAATCATTAAAAACAGAAGACTCATGAAAAACAGAAAATTACTCTGACAAATTTGAT
Organism: Homo sapiens; assembly: GCF_000001405.40. Lineage (NCBI taxonomy): Eukaryota > Metazoa > Chordata > Mammalia > Primates > Hominidae > Homo > Homo sapiens. The sequence goes on from NC_000011.10 coordinate 101,920,984, forward strand.
AAAGATACTTAATAATGTCAATTAAAACGCAACTAAATAAATTGGAGAAATTACTCATATTGCTACAACTTATTTAAGGAGAGTTTAATTTTATAAAATAAATTTCAAGTGAATAGATGATTAGGATAACCAAAATATTCCTCTTTTTCTCTGACAAGCTTCTGGATACACAGATGACTATACATAGTTTTCCTAGTGGTTTTTTATAACCACTAAGTCACTAAGTAAATAACTAAACTGTATTCCTAACCATTCTAGTTATATTGCTATTTGATTGTTTAATATTTGAAAATGTACTTTCCTACTATAGATTAAGGGATCTGGTGAAACATTTACTCCATCTACTTTCTATTAGTAAAATACAATCTTCTTATTTCATTTTCTTATATTCATGACTATGAGGGCAACTTGTTAGTAAGTACTCAAATATCTGTGTAATGAGGCCAAGCACGGTGGCTCACGCCTGTAATCACACCACTATGGGAGGCCGAGGCAGGTGGATCACCTGAGGTTAGGAGTTCGAGACCAGGCTGACCAACATGGTGAAACCCCGTCTCTACTGACAATACAAAAATTGACTAGGTGTGGTGGCACATGCCTGTAGTCCCAGCTACTTGGGAGGCTGAGGCAGAAGAATCACTTGAACCCAGGAGGCAGAGGTTGCAGTGAGCTAAGATCATGCCACTGCACTCCAGCCTGGGCAACAGAGTGAGACTCTGTCTCAAAAAAAAAAAAAAAAAAACTGTGTAATGAATGAAGATATACAGTCCTCTTTATCTGAAGTTCATGATTTCTTTTTTTTTTTTTTTTTTTTTTTTTGAGATGGAGTTTCGCTTTTGTTGCCCAGGCTGGAATGCAGTGGCGCAATCTCGGCTCACTGCAACCTCTGCTTCCCAGGTTCAAGAGATTCTCCTGCCTCAGCCTCCTGAGTAGTTGAGATTACAGGTACCCGCCACCACGCCCGCCTAATTTTTGTGTTTTCAGTAGAGACAGGTTTCACCGTGTTGGCCAGGCTGGTCTCAAACTCCTGACCTCAGGTGATCCACCCGCCTCAGCCTCCCAAAGTGTTGGGATTACAGGTGTGAGCCACCGCGCCCAGCCTGAGCTCATGATTTCTAAAAGTAGATTTTTTTTCTCCAGGAAAAGTGAGCTATATCTTACTTTCTAATACCAAGTCAGAATTTTTTTTTTTTTTTTTGAGATGGAGTCTTGCTCTTGTCACCCAGACTGGAGTGCAATGGCACAACCTTGGCTCACTGCAACCTCCGCCTCCCGGGTTCAAGCGATTCTCCTGCCTCAGCCTCCCAAGTAGCTGGGAATACAGGCATGCACCACCACGTCCAGCTAATTTTTGTATTTTTAGTAGAGACGGGGTTTTGCCACGTTGGCCAGCCGGGTCTTGACCTACTGACCTCGTGATCTTTCTGCCTCAGCCTCCTAAAGTGATGGATTACAGGTGTGAGCCACCGCACCCAGCCCCGAATTTTTTTTACATAAAATGTTTGCCAGTCATATACTAATGTGGGCACATACTAATTATTCCACAAAAACTATCATTACATCATTTGCATGAGGCTGTAGTTATATTTATCATATAGCACTGACAGTCATCCACTAAAGATGTAGACCATTGTTCTTAACTTAATGCTATCATTAGAGATATGAAAATCCATCTGGAGAAAAATTTAGAAGAAGAGCGCCAGATATTACTGCAGCAACAAAAAATATGTCGAAATCGAGCACGTAAATATTTTGTGGAGTCAAATCGGAGAAAAAAGTAAGTAATTGCACTTTATTCAGAAGTATAGAAATTCAAAGTCAATATAAAGTAATAGTTTCTCTACTTTGTAGCACTTTATGAAACTAAGTCATGGCAGTGTTATCTGTGAAACATTGATCAAGATTTGTGTGGCTTTGTAAATTTTATTATTGTTTTCCTTCCCAAAGCACAAGGGTGGTGGTGTATTATCTAGGTCTCTGACAGTAGCAGTCTTTTTTTGTCATAGAACAGCTTATTGCATTGTCATATACACTTCTTAAAATGACTATGAAATGTATTATCTTCTTTTTTTGTATCATTTCATGATTTCATGATGATTTTAAAATTACCAATTAATATTTAGTCTTTTGGTATATAGTTTGAGTTTAATTTGTTATTCACTTCTATATAATTTTTCTATATCTGCCACTTTTCATTCGTTCAATCTGAAAAATTGGAAAAAATATGAATAATGGTATAAAAATTGGAAAAATATGAATAATGGTAGCAATATGAATAACAGTAGAAGTGGTAGAAATGTTTTATAAGTGAATGCTAGAAAAAGGAGCTTTCTAGGGTAAACTAGAAACTATAGTAAAGAAAAAGTACAAATTGTTCAATCACTGCTTAACATTTTTCAGGATGTTTTTTAAATATTAGGCTTTTTTTGAGACAGAGCAGTTATGCCATTTTTTAATTGTTGTTTTTGCTACCTTGTCCATATTTCTACAATATATGAATAGCAGAAAATCCCTAGACTTTATTAACTACATCACTGGGCATATGTTAACAAATCCCATTTGGGGAATAAAAAATTGTTTACCTGTAATTTTTGCCTGGCATTATGTTTCTCTTCAGATTAACTTTTTTATTGTCTGATGTAGTTGAAATTATTTACTGAAATTTAGAATTTTATTTTGTATGCATAGGTTTCTGCTTTTCTCCTACCTTTGGGCTCCTGGCATCTATAAACGGCGTGTGACAGGTGTTCAGTAAAGATGAATAATCATATGTTGAAAGAGTAATGGACTTTGGAGTCAGAGATCTAGGAAATACTAGCTCTATGAATTAAAGGATGTCTGTTTAATGTCTTTAAGCCTCAGTTTTCTCATTTATGATTGGAATTAATTACATCTATTTCAAGGGATTTTGGTGTAGAGCAGAAAGGGTAGAAATAAAGTGGAATATTTGAGAATACATGTAAAAATATCAGTGTCTGACACATAGGACTTCTTATTTTTTATTATTAATGTTTATCAGTTGTTTATTTTACAATAATCAACTTTAATAGCAAGCCTTTATGGAATTTTATTAATAAATTTTCTATTTGTATTCTCTCATCAAATGTAAGAATTCTTATGTAGAAAATAACAGAAAAGAAATCTTGGTTTAAAATTCTAAGAGGCAGGACATTTTCCAATACAATATTATTGTGTTTTATTTTCCGTTACCCTAAAGTGCAATGTAAAGATACATAAACATTTCTTTTAAAACACTAATCATTTGTCTCTGTATTTCACCTTTTATAAGGGGGCTGAATTATTTGTGCACATCCGAATTTCAGAAGCTGTCTATGATTATGGTCTTCTTAACCATGCCATTGTCTATCAATTTATACTTTACATCATTTAAGTTTATGCTGTCCACTTACATTGTGGTCACAGAGGATTTTTTTGTTTTGTTGTTGTTTTGGGGCTGTGTGTGTGTGTGTGTGTGGTTTTTTGTTTTGTTTTGTTTTTTTGAGATGGAGTCTCACTCTGTCACTCAGGCTGGAGTACAGGGGCACAATCTCAGCTCACTGCAACCTCCGCCTCCCAGATTCAAACGATTCCCCTGCCTCAACCCCCCGAATAGCTGGGATTACAGGCACGCACCCCCGTGCCCGGCTAATTTTTTTGTGTTTTTCATAGAGACAAGGTTTCGCCATGTTGGCCAGGCTGGTCTTGAACTCCTGACCTCAAGTGATCCTCCCATCTCAGCCTCCCAAAGTGCTGGGATTATAGGTGGTTTTGGGTTTTTTTTTTAAATAGTATTTTCTTCAGGTAGAGACAGTCTCCTGCCATTTGTCAGTTATACATTGACATTGTCAGTGTTATGTGTCCAGCAGAAGTCAAAGGAAAATGTTCCTAGCATCAAGTTCTCTTTATTTTCATTAGTTGCTTTAAATCACACACATTTTTATTTTCTTATTATTTATTGCATTTCTATTAGCCAATATTTTTCTTGCATTGTATGCTTTTATCACATCCTCAAGTTTTCCATTCTCTCAGTCAGTATCTATACAATGGAGTCCCCTTTGTTTCCCTCCAAGTCCCCTTTGTTTCCGGCTCCAGTAGATGCTGGTTATCTTTTAGGCCTATTGCACAACTGGCATCCCAGAACTTTCTTTTATTGCTCTTAGGAGTTGGAGCCATAATTTTTTGCCTCTCATAGCATCCCTTTGTTTGTTTGTTCTTTGTATTCCATTAGTTTGCTGGAGTACATCCTCAAGTTACTTTCTAATATGCTTCTTTGTAGACCAAGGAATTTTGAGATACACACACAGAAAGGAAATAAACTGGCTTATTTCCTGCTTTTTCAGTCCACCAACCAGAACTATCTTTTGGTAAATACGTGAATGGGCATTTATTCACTCAACATGGAGAATTCAGTGAGCACAAATGATTCAACATTATGTCAGGAAAAGAATTTATTTTGTTAATCTGTTCTACCAGTAAACTTTAGAAAAGTTTACCGGCAATTATCTGGCCGGGCGTGGTGACTCACACCTGTAATCCTAGCACTTTGGGAGGCTGAGGTGGGTGGATCACGAGGTCAGGAGTTCAAGACCAGCTTGGCCAAGATGGTGAAACCTCGTCTCTACTAAAAATACAAAAACTAGCCAGGTGTTGTGGCGGGTGCCTATAATCCCAGCTACTCAGGAGGCTGAGGCAGAGAATTGCTTGAGCTCAGGAGGCAGAGGGTGCAGTGGCGTGACCTCGGCTCACCACTATCTCCACCTCCTGGGTTCAAGCAATTCTCCCTGCTTCAGCCTCCCAAGTAGCTGGGATTACAGGCGCCCGTCACCATGCCCGGCTAATTTTTGTATTTTTAGTAAAGACGGGGTTTCGCCACGTTGGCCAGGCTGGTCTCGAACTCCTGGACTCAAGTGATCTGCCCATCTCGGCCTCCCAAACTGCTGGGATTACGGGCATGAGCCACTGTGCCCAGCCATCCATACTATATTAAAGAAAATTTGGATATTTGGAAGTTATCTTTGACTATTTAAAATGTTGTTACGTAAGATAGTCATTTATTCACTCAACTAATATTTACTAGGAAACCCCAAGGTTTCATATTCCGAAAGATAAAACAATAAAAAACATGATTTCTGTCCTCAGATTACTGATAGTGAAGTAATAAAAGATGGCAATGCTATGCAGTAAGTACTACAATAGCATCACTTACGAGATTCTATGGAAGCACATGCCATAGACTTAAAGGACAAGAAAGAATTCCTGGAAGAACAAAGTCTCTCGTATTAGTTAACCAAGAGTTAGCCAGGGAAGATGAAGAGGAAGGGAGATGTTTTATTTAGAGAGAACAATATGTGAAAAAGCCTAATGTTATGAAATACACGACAAAAGTTGTATGTGGCTGATGCATGGGAATATGTGGAAGAGTATCAGGAGAGGAAGTTACAGTGTTGATAGTACACGTTATGAAATAACTTTTATGCCAATCTAAAGAAATCAAAGATGCTGTTGAAGGAATAAAATCAGAGGAGTGTCATGATCAGATTTATATTTTAGCTCATTATAGCAAAGGGGCAGAGGATGAATTGAAAACAGGCTGGAGGCAAAGAGTAAAGTAGAAAGCTGTTATAATGTTCTAGGCAAGAAGATGGCTATGGAGGTGGAACTGGATGGAGTAGATAGGATCAGTAGGAGTCAAGGATTAATTATAGATGAAGCATGAACAGCATTGCCAGAAATGGAATTCTTGTAGATTATGAAAACTTTATTTTCACATTTTAACATAAATTTTTCTAAAATACAATGCATATTTCTATAATCTTTCATATAGTTTATGATAAAAGTGGTTTGATCTTTTCTTCATGCCCTACAATCATTATTATGAGCATTAAATATTCTCCTCCATTATATTATTGTACTGCCTTTGAGCTATTAAGCTTTATTTAGGCTATAATAAGTAGCCTGTAACAGTTAAGTTTGGTGAGTTCTTGCATTGAGGATTATCTATCTTCTTGTAATTTCTCTTTTTAAAATTAAACTGTTGGCTGGGCGCAGTGGCTCACGCCTTTAATCCCAGCACTTTGGGAGGCCAAGGTGGGTGCGTTACTTGAGGTCAGGAGTTCAAGACCAGCCTGGCCAACCTGGTGAAACCCCGTCTCTACTAAAAATACAAAAATTAGCTGGGCATTGTGGCGCATGCCTGTAATCCCAGCTATTCAGGAGGCTGAGGCAAGAGAATCTCCTGAACCTGGGAGGCAAAGGTTGTGGTGAGCCGAGATCATGCCACAGCACTCCAGCCTGGGTGACAGAGCGAGTCTCCATTTAAAAATAATAATAATAAATTAAATTAAACCAAATTAAACTCTTTATTTTGAGGTAATTGTAGATTCACAGGCAATTGTAAAAAATAAAACAGAGAGATTCCATATACCTTTTACCCAGTTTCCCCCAATGATAACATCTTGCAAAACTATATAGTACAATATCACAACTAGCATAATAATATGTTTACAGTCAAGAAATAGAACAGTTCCATCACCACAAAGATCCCTCAAGTGTTGTCCTTTTATAGCCACACCTACTTCTCTCCCAGTCCCACCCCCTGGAAATCACTAATATGATGTTCTCCATTTCTACAGTTTTTTCATTTCCAGAGTGTTGTATAAAGGGGATCATACCATATATAACCTTTGAGGATTGACTTTTCTCAGTACAATTCTTTGGGATTCATTCAAGTTGTAGTGTGTATCAGTAGCTTTTTCATTCTTATTGCTGAATATTTATTATTATTATTATTTCATGATATGGATGCACCAGAGTTTGACCATTCACCCATTGAAGGACATGATATGTCAGTCTATTATAAATGAAGTTGATAAAAACATTCACATACAGGTTTTTGTATAAACATAAGCCTTTATTTCTCTGGGATAAGTGACCATGAGTACTCTGGTTAGGTCATATGGTAGTTGCCCATTTAGTGTGTTTAAAAACTGCCAGCCGTTTTTCAGAGTATAAGCGTGATCCAGCTTTTCCTCATCCTCACTAGCATTTGGTATTGTCACTATTTTTTATTTTAATCATTCTGATAGGTATGCAGTAATATCTCATTGTGGTTTTAACTTGTATTTCCCTAATTGCTAGTGATGCAGATTATCTTTTCATATTTTATTTACCATCTGTTCTCTTTTAGTGAAATTCTCTTTACATTTTTGTTCATTTTTAATTGGACTGTTTGCTCTTTTATTATTGAGTTTTGAGAGCTCTACATATATTCTAGATACTAGTCCTTTGTCAGATATGTTGTTTGTAAACATTTTCTCCTACCTTGGAGATTATTTTTCCATCTTCTTCATAGAGTCTCTTCCGGAGCAGAAGTTTTGAATTTTGATGAAATTCAGCTTATTGGTTTTTCTTTTTATGGACTCTGCTTTTGATGTAAAGTCTAGGAACTCTTTGCGTAGCCCTAGGTTCTGAAGATTTTCTCCTGTGTTTTATCCTCAAAATATTATAGTTTTATGTTTTACAGTTAAGTCTGTGATCCAGTTTTAGTTAATCTTTCTATAAAGTATCAGATGTGTACCAAAGTTTGGAGGTTTTGTTTGATAGTTTTTTGGGGGTGTGTTTTGTCTCCAGATGTCCAGTTGGTCCAGCATTATTTGTTGAATAGGCTACCTTTCCTCCATGAATTGTTTTTGCACCCTGTCAAAAATCAGTTGAGCATATTTGTATGCATCTATTTTGGGGTTCTTTATTCTGTTCTTTTTGTGTCTCTTCCTCCACCAATACCCCACAATTTTGATTACTGTAGCTGTATAATAAGTCTTCAAATCATGTAGGCTAATTCTTCCCACTTTATTCTTTTTCAGAATTGTTTTAGGTGTTCTAATCTTTGCCTTTGAATATGAAATTTAGAATAATATTATCTAAACCTGCAAAAATTATTGCTGAGAGTTTCATAGGAATTGCATTATACCTGTATATCAATGTGGGATGGGGAAAACTGACATCTTCACTATGTTGGATCTCCTAATAAATCTACTGAGTTTTTTATTTCAGTTGTTGCGTTTTTTAATTCTAAATTTTTCATTTGATTCTTCTTTATATTGATTCTTTATGTTTTCTATTTATTTTCTGAGACTGTTTTTTCATCTACAAACATGCTCATTGAAGCATTTTTATCATGGCTGCTTTAAAATGTTTGTCAAATAATTCTAACATTCCTGTCATCTTGATGGTGGCATATGTTGATTGTCTTTTTTCGCTAAGTTTGAGACTTTCCTGGTTCTCAGAATGACAAGTGATTTTCTATTGAAACCCAAACATTTTCATACTCTATTATGAGATTCTGTGACTTATTTAAACCTTAAACTTTAGCTGATTCTCCCTGACACTGCTCTAGCAGGGGAAGAAAGGATGCAGCCTCATTACAGACAGTTGGAGGTAGAAGCCAAGGTTCATCACTCAGCCTCTGTGGACACTAGATAAGTAGGACAGTTCTTTATTACTGCTGAGCAGGAGGAGGAGTTCCAGCTTCTCACGTGGTCTCCATTGATACCACAGTGGAGGTGGCCTTATTACTGCTGGATGGTAGTGAAAGTCATATCTCTCTGCAGGCTTCCTCAGATACCACCAACTATGGAGAGCGTAGGGCACTTCGTCCTGCTGGGTAGGTGAAAATCCAGACTCACGACATAGTCTCTACTAATACCAGGATGAGGAGAAGACCACTTTACCACCAGGTGGAGATGAAAGCCAGGCGTTCTACTCAGCTTCTCTGACACCATCCCTACAGGAGGGTTGAGGGCACATTGTTACAAGGGAGGCAAGGATAGAAATCTAAGCTCTCCATTCAGTCTTTTCTGGCTGGATGGGAGTGGAACCACAATTTTCTGTGGTGTTTGGATGGAGTGACAGGATTTTTGCCTAAGTTTTCTGTCTAGCTAAGCTGATCTTTTCCTTATCCTGAGGCTAGAGAGAGCAAGCTTTAGTTAGGACTTTTTTTTTTTTTTTTTTGTCTAAGCTTGATGCTTCCAGGCTTCAAGTTTTTTTTCTGCTCCAAGTCTGGGATATACGAAACAAAAAGAAAACCCAGAGAACTTAAGCACCATGTCCTTTCTCAGGCGCCAGGGTCCCTAGCCTGCTGACCTCCTCTTCTTCACTTCTCAGACTCTTCTTATGGGTGTGTGTTGGGGAGGGCGTAGTTGCCCCTTGTATCTCTGGTGATTGGTTCCAAGACCCCCAGGGATACCAAAATCCACAGATACTCAAGTCTCTTATATAAAATAGTGAACTATTTGCATATAATCTACACACATCCTCTCATATGCTCTGAATCTTCTCTAGATTACTTATAATAACTAATACAGTGTAAATGTTATGTAAATAGTTGTTATACTATATTTTTATTTGTATTATTTTTATTGTATTGTTGTGTCCCTTCTGGTGGGTTCGTGGTCTCGCTGACTTCAGGAGTGAAGCCGCAGACCCTCGCGGTGAGTGTTACAGCTCTTAAAGGTGGTGCGGACCCAAAGAGTGACCAGCAGCAAGATTTATTATGAAGAGTGAAAGAACAAAACCTCCACACCATGGAACAGGACCCCAACGGGTTGCCCCTGCTGGCTCTGGTGGCCAGCTTTTATCCCCTTATTTGGCCCTGCCCATGTCCTGCTGATTAGTCCATTTTACAGAGTGCTGATTGGCCCATTTTACAGAGTGCTGATTGGTCCATTTTACAGAATGCTGATTGGGGCATTACAATCCTCTAGCTAGACAGAGAAGTTCTCCAAGTCCCCACCCAACCCAGAGGCCCAGCTGGCTTCACCTCTCATTGTTATTTTTATTGTTTTTTCCCAAATATTTTCAATCCAGGGTTGGTTGAATCTGTAGATATGGAACTCACAGATATGGAGGGCAAACTGTATATATCATGCACAGGAGTTTTAGTTGTACTTAGCGGGAGAAATAGAAAAAGTATGTCTACCTCCATTTTCCCAGAAGCAGAATTTGTGTCTTTTTGATGTTAGTATTTCTCCTTCTAGCAGCTCCTTCACATTTTTTTTTAATATTTCTAATACATTTTAACCTACTAAATTGAGGGATTTTGTTAGAACTGAAATCTAAGGATAGTGAATGAGGACCTAAGAGAGCTTGTTACTAAATTTTTGAGCTTTAGTTAATTGATATGTTTCTTTACACTGACACCTCAACCTTTAGAGAAATGAGATACTTTTATATTTTTCCTTTGTATGATGTATATTACTAATTCTATGAATCTTTATTGTTTAGGTGTTTTGCCCTGTGATAGTGTATTGAGGGTAATTTTCAACATTTCATTTGTCGTCTTTTCCAGTCAAGTGAAAGACAATCTGTTGGAAAATATGGTTTTCATACATTCTTTTAGGATTTCAAATAATTTTATGTCTCGGAAAGCACAGGATTATAATCTGGGACACATGTTTCTTTGACAGGCAATGAAAACTCACAGTAGATTATTGGGTTTAGTTCTATTATAGGCATATTGTTGGCATTATTATTTGTTAAAAATGGTATTTTTCATTTCTAAAAACCATTTATCCAACTGCCTTTTTTAACTTTCAAGAAGAACAATTTATCCTTATTTTTAATTTTTTAATTTCTAATTGTCTCAAAATATATTTAGCTTTACAGTTTAATATTATCATATTTCTAGAGAGTTGTAGCTACCTAGATCTGAAATGTCGTTCCGTCCAGAAGAAAGAAATGTATCACAAAAGGCAAGTTCTTCAGTTCTATGTTTGTCTCCTGTGACCACAGATACTCTAAATACTACTTCCTAGGTTCTATTGTTAAACGGTTGCCATGATGTTTATTTGCTCACTTCTCAAGAGCATTTCCAACAGAGGAAAATGATACCCATAGCTGTAGACCCCAGGAAACAAGAACAAATAGTTCGGCATATAGCTGTCATTTGATGAGATGGCTCACATTGAGCCAAGGTGCTCTACATGTTTCATGAGGCAGAGCTGCATATGTTAAACAGACCCTTCGAAAGTTGCTAAGGCAGACTGTGTTTCTTCTGCGAAAAAGACTAATTCCAGGGTAAATAGGAAGCAAAAATGTACTTTCTCAACTCTGAATTCTACAATGGTAGAAAATCTTTCTCATTTTTATTGCCATTTCCTTCTATTCTCACAGCATTTACCAGTGCCTGGCACAGAATAATATAAAAGGAACTCTGTAAATAGTCACTGAGTAATGAAAGAAGTATAGTAATCATCACTATAATTGCTTATTAAAACTTTTTATTATTGGCCTATCATTGAGTTCAGGAGTAGAAATGTCTGCTTATTGGTGACACTCCATCCCTGATTTAGTGTGGCTCAACCTAACACAGGCTTTATTTTCTACAGTCCCAGAAAATACTGTATGAAATTATTATTACTTTCTGTATACATTTTAGCCCAGAAAACCTGGCCACTGTGGAACAATATGAAATGATGGTGATGATAATTTGCTGTCAAAATGACTTTTGGATAATTACAAGAAAAATACCACCTCTTAGCTTTGGAAATCTATCATTCATCATTGCCAAATATTGCTGAATTGGTGGTTATTTTCTCAATTTCTCAAACTTGCTAAGTTTTTTTCCCTCTCAATTCAGGACCTTTGCACACTGTTTCTGCCTAGAGCACTTTTTTTCCCCATTTTTAAAATGATTTGCCCCTGCGTATTTGGAGTTTTTTAGTTTAAATATATCCAGAGAAATATTCCCTGTTTACCTTATTTAAAGTGGGTTTCCCTGGCTCCCTATCTCAAACTGGAGTTTCTTTACTTCCTAGCACTTATGATAATTAGTAATTCTTTGTTTACTTGGTTTTGTTAGCTTGCCTCACTAAATAATAAATACCTGCCTGAACCGTATCTGTTTTACTTACTGTTATATACCAAACAGATACATTATTAAATACAAATAATAGATAACTGCTTTTAAAAGTGCTCTGATTATATTTGAAGTTGACATATGGTCAAACATTTATTAAACAATTATTTATTAAGCATCTACCAGGTACAAAGCATTGTGTTAGGAACAGGACTTCCAGAAATTAAAATTTCAGGCTCTGCACTCAGTGAACTTGAAGAGTATGATGGGAAAGACAGACAGTTAAAATGCAATTAATTCTTCCATTCCACAATGCTACTGCATGCTGCTGTGTTCCAAGCCCTATGCTATGTGCTGACACAGACACTGAACTTATGATACTTACAGTCTGACAAGCAATGCAGAAAAGTAAGTAATTACAATTTAGTGAGATAAATCCTATGGTAAGGTTAAGCTTAGGATTCCATGGGAAAACAAATTCGTGTTACATGTGGAAGTTGGAGATGGAAGTGCTTTGAAGAAAAAAATTACAGAAAGGTTGTTACATAGTGTATACTCGTTTAAAACCAGGTAGAATCAGGCTGCCTAGTTTAGACTCCCAGTTCTTCCACTTAATAGTTATGTGGCCTTGCACAAGTTACTGAACCTTTTTAAGATTCAGGATTTTTGTCTGTAAAATGCTTACCTCAGATAACTGCTGTGGGATAAAACAAGGTAATACATAAAAAATACTTAGCACTTACAGTGCCTGACCATACTAAGCACTTGTAATGAATGATTATTATTTTCACAGGTCACCTTATATGTAATGACAAACTTACTTTGCCAGCAGCCTTCTCCAAAACTTTCTTTCCATATCAGTCCCTAGCACCCTGATAGTATCCCTCTATCCGAAATATAAACGCCAATCATGTAAATGCTCACATGCACAGTGCTTTTGGGAAGAAAGTAAACATGGAAAACTTTCACCCCCGAGACCCCCCCCCCACCAAAACAATTAAGACTTAAAGCAATTGAAGATATGTCATTATATTAGAAATTGTTCCTAGAACCCCAAGTTGAGGAAAACATGGATGAAGTAATTTTTTCGGTATGTGATAAGGTCTCTGCTTACAGCTTCTGTTTTTCTCTATGATAAAGGATGTGAGAGGGAGGTGGAAGGTGATATCATGGAAAGTGTGAAGATACTCACAGATAGATACAAAGGACAAGGTATCATCTTCGCTCTTTGTTTTCATTTCTGGCTATTGCTCTCCCTTTTCTCTAAAATCCTCCAGCTGTCTTCAAGCACATGCCATCAAAATATACTGCTTATCCCTACTTTTCCTTACTGCAGTCATCTATAGATCCTCTGTGTCATTCCTTGAAAGTTTTAGCAACTTGGCTCTTTTTGTCTCCCTACTATTATTCCAGCGATCATTCTTTGTGATTTTAGTGTCTGCATAGACCATTCATCCAACCTAATGGTCTGTCATTTTCTTGAACTTCACGCATTCAATGGCACATCACCTCAACTATTTACAGTTACTACTTCACCTCCAAAATCTCAATTTCAGTCATCTCAATCTCTGATCTATATCTCCTATTTTTCCATGCCACTTCCTCTAGTACCCTGAATTCAACAGTTCTAAGACCCCACCAGGTCCTCCAATCCATTTATCTTATTACCCTTTTTCTGTTAATCCCATCCCTCATGTTCTCACTTCTGTTCAAACTGAGCTTCACACTCCATAGTCTATCATTATCATTCCCCAGAATATACCCTGAAACCTCTTGCAGTCAATCTCTGCCCTTCATAGCAACCACTGTTATAATTTCTATCATCAGAGTTAATTTTTCATGTTGAGATTCATCCATGTATTAGTTCATTCTTATTGCCCAATGGTATTCCATTGTAAAAATATATCATAATTTATTTAGCCATTCTTATATTGATAGGCATTGGGTTATTCTAATTTGGGACTACTAATAAAGCTGCTGGCGGAAAGATAATTATAGTCAAAATGGTAAAACATGAGAGAATCCATAAGTAGGAAATCTTTTTGTGGATATACATTTTTATTTGTTCTGAGTAAACTAAAAGTAGAATTGGTAAGTCTTAGGGTATGTGTATGTTTAACCATATAAGAAGATGTCAAACAGTTTTCCAAAAGGGCTGACCTTTTTTACACACCCTCCAGCATTGTGCATGTGAGTCCCAGTGGCTTTATAACCTTCCCAGTCAGCCTTTTTAATTTTAGCTATATACTAAGAATAAATTGAGTTTAGTTTTCACTTGCCTGATGTGCCATTCATAAGTTTTTTAATGAAATATCTATTCAAATATTTTGTCCGTGTTTTAAGTTGGGTTGTTTGTCGTCTTCTTGTTGAATTGTAAGATATATATATAGATATCTATATATATATTCTGGGTACAAGTTCTTTGTCACAGATTTATATTGTAAGTATTTTCTTCTAACCTGTGGCTTACCTTTTCATTTATTTAATGAAATCTTTCAAAGAGCAGTTTTACATTGTGATGACGTACAATTATCAATTGTTTGTTCTATGGTTAGTCTTCTCTAAGACATTTTGTCCACCCCAAGGTCATAACTTCTTGATTTCTTCTGGAAAGTTCATACTTACAGATTTTCAGTCTAGTTTTATCATTCATCTCAAATTATATGTGTGTGGTATGATATAAGGGTTGAGTGGTTTTTTCACATAAGTTTATTTAGTTGCTCCAGCACCATTTGTTGGAAAATAATTTCCTTTCACCATTCAGTGGTCTTGATGCCTTTTTTGAAAATCAATTGAGGGTCTACTTCTGTGCTCTGTATTTTGTTCCATTGGTCTGTTTACTCTTATACTAATACTACATTGACTTGATTATTGTAGCATTATAGCAGGAATTCTCAACAGCAGTACTATTGACATTGTGGATGAGATAATTATTTATTATAGGGGAACTACCATATAGGAATTTTAGGATGAAGTATAGGATGTTTAACAGTACTTGCCTGCTGTCCACTAGATACCAGTAGCACACACCAGTCATGACAATTTAAAATGTCTCTAGACATTGTCAAAGATCCACTTGAGGGGGAAGGGGCAAAACTCTCCTCAGTTGGGAACCACTTCTTTATAGTGAAATAAGATAGTGTGTAGCCTCTGATTTTGTTTTGATTCAAGATAGTTTTGCTTATTCTAGGTATTTTTACTTTTCCCTATAAATAAATCTGCCTGGTTTTGAGTGGGATTGTGGTGAATTTGTATATCAATTTAGAGAGACTTGATAACAATTCTAATTGCATTAATAAAATTGAGTCTTGCAGTCCATGAAATCCATGAACACAGCTTATCTCTTCTCCTCTTTCCCCCACCCTTTATTTTGGTTTGGGTTTTTTTGGTTTGTTTATTTAATTTCTCTCAGTGGCATTTTCTAGTTTTCAGTACAGAAGTCTTGCATGTCTTTGTTTAATGACTCCTAAATATTTTGTATTTTGTAATGCTTTTATAAATGAATTTATTTAAATTTCATTTCCCATTGTTTGTTGCTTATATGTTGAAATACAAATGATTTTTCTATATTGACCTTGTATTCTAAGAACTTGTTAAATTTTCTCATTAGTTCCAGGAGTTATTTTATATATTCCTGATGATTTTCTAGTTATATAATTATGTCGTCTGCAAATAAAGAGAATTTAATGTCTATCTTTCCAGTCAATATGGCTTTTACTTTTTTGTTGGCCTCAGTGAACTTTCTAGGACTTCCAGTGCAAATGGGGACTAGAAGTAGTATGAGTAACCCTCTTTGCCTTATACCTTTTGGGGGAAGTATTTACTATTTCACCATTAACTATGCTGCTAGCTAGGGAATTTGGGTAGGTGCCCTCTATCAGATTGAAAAAGTTTCCTCTCATTCCTAGTTTGCTGAGAATTTTTATGAATGTGCATTGAATACTGTCAAATACTTTTTCTACATCTATTTTGATGATCATATCACTTCCCTCTTTTTTGTCAATATAGTGAGATGCACTAATTTCACATTCCATGGATAACCCTCATTTGGTAATGATATGTTATTTTTATAAACTGCTGGATTTTATTTGCTAATACAGATTGAGTGCTCATTATCTCAAATGCTTGGAACTAGAAGTGTTGTGGATTTTAATTCTTTTTAGACTTTTGGAATATTTGTACATACATAATGAGTTATCTTGGGAATGAGACTCAAGTCTAAGCATGAAATTCATTTATGTTTGATATACACCTTATACACATAGCCTAAAGGTAATTTTATGTAATATTTTTAAATAATTTTGTGCATGAAACAAAGTTTGTGTACATTGAACCATCAAAAAGCAAAGATGTCATTGTCTCAGTCAACCACGTGGACAATCTGCGGTTGTTTGGTCATCACCACCATTCCTGAGTCTGAATTTATATGTTACTGATAAGCAATCATTTTCTTATACTTATTCACACTTAAGTACTTAAAAGTAAAAAATATGACAGATAACATTAACACATTGAAAAAATAACGTGTTCAAGGTAATGAACCAGTACAGTAGCATCACCGGAATACCTGTATCAGCTGGCAGACAACAGCAATAGCAAACAAAGGCAGACTTTCAGTCTTCATGTCAGTACTCAAAAGTTTCAAATTTTGTAGCATTTCAGATTTTGGATTTGCTGATTAGAGATGCTTAACCTGTATTTTGTGAAGGATTTTTGTGTAATGTTGATGAGAGATATTGCTCTATAAATTTCTTTGCTTCTAATGTGTTGTCGGGTTTTGGAATCATAGTTATGCTGGCCTTATAAAACATGGTGGGGAGTGTTTTGTTCACCTCTATATTTTGAAAATGGTTGTGTATGATTGTTGTTTCTCTTTTAAACGTTTGACAAAAAAATTATAATATATCTGAACCTAGAGTTTTTTTTGTGGGAAACTTATTAATTATAAATTATTAATGTGTAGAGGTTTTCATATTTTATTTTCTTTTGTGTCGGTTTTGGAAAGTAGTTTCTTTTAAGAAATTGGTCCATTTTGGCCGGGCGCGGTGGCTCACGCCTGTAATCCCAGCACTTTGGGAGGCCGAGGCGGGTGGATCATGAGGTCAGGAGATCGAGACCATCCTGGCTAACAAGGTGAAACCCCGTCTCTACTAAAAATACAAAAAATTAGCCGGGCGTGGTGGCGGACGCCTGTAGTCCCAGCTACTCGGGAGGCTGAGGCAGGAGAATGGCGTGAACCCGGGAAGCGGAGCTTGCAGTGAGCCGAGATTGCGCCACTGCAGTCCGCAGTCCGGCCTGGGCGACAGAGCGAGACTCTGTCTCAAAAAAAAAAAAAAAAATACAAGAAATTGGTCCATTTTACCTAAGTTGTTGAATTTATTAGCATAAAGTTGTTTGTAATATTCTCCTATTATTTTTTAAGGCCTGAGGTATTTGTAGTGATACCCTGTCTTGCATTCATGATATTATTAATTTTTGTTTTCCCTTTTTTTCTTCATTGTTCTTGCTAGGAGTTTATCAGTTTTCTTAACATTTTCCAAAGCAACTTGTCTATGTTTTCTCTATTTTTTTTTTTTTTGCTTACTACTTCATCAGTTTATTTTCTTTTTATTAGATTCTTTCTTCTTTAGGATAAATTTGCTCATCTTCTATCTTGTTAAGGTGGAAACTGAAGTCATTGATTTTAAACCTTTCCCCTTTTCTGGTATAGCATTTAAAATTATAAATTGGCCAAGCATGGTGGCTCACACCTGTAATCCCAAAACTTTGGAAAGCCAAGGTAGGAGGATTTCTTGAGGCCAGGAGTCAAGACCATCCTGGGCAACAAATCAAGACACCCCCTTCTCTACAAAAAATTTTAAAATAAAATTATAAATTTTCTTCCAAACACACTTTTAACTGCATTTAACAAATTCAGTATGCTGTATTTTAATTTTTATATCATTCAAAAATTTTTTTTACTTCTCTTTAGATTTTTTTCTTTGATCTATGGTTTACTTAGAACTATGTTTTCATTTTTTCTCTAATTTCCAGTTATTTGGAGCTTTTCTAGATATCGTAATTGATTTCTAATGTAAATGTGTTTTGGTCAAAAACATACCCTGTAAGATTTTAATCTTATGAAATTCATTAACATTTCTTTTATGGCTCAACATAAGATTTTTATGATGTACTTGGGAAAAGACTGTGTATTATGATTGTTGGGTATAAATTATTACTGTTCTATAAATATCAACTAGATTGACCCAGTTGATAGTGTTGTTCAAATATTCTATATTCTTACTGATACTTTTTTCCAGATACTTTTTTCCAGTTGTTCTGTTACAAAGAAAGGATGTTAGAATATGCACCTAGGATTGTGGATTTGTCCATTTCTATCTTTAGTTCTGTGTTTGCTTCATGTATTTTGAAGGTCTATTATTGGGTTCATACATCTTTATAATTTTTGTGTCTTCCTGATGAATTGACCTTTCTATCATTATGAAATGTTGTCTTTTACCTCTAGTAATACTCCATTTCTTAAAGTCCAATATTAATAACACTCTAATAAATTTGTCTGGTATTAATATACATAGTCAAAAACTTCATCTGATATTAATGTAGTCAAATAAATTTCTCAAGCTTTTCCATTCTTTTGCCTTCAGCCCGTGTATATTTGCAATTGGGTCTTACTTTGTATCCATTCTAGCAAGTGTTAAGTCAGAAACTGTGAAGGGTCTGAGATTTTACCCTACTTGCAAGCTAATAATTTAGTTTACCATGATTTCACTCAGTACCAATGAGATGGTTGTTAATTCATGTTGCCTGTTTTGAAATATTAAACAACAAATAACTTTTGTTTCCTTGTTTTCACAAGTGTCTGCCATGTGACATAAAGGTTTAGTGTCTTCTTTGATAACTCAGATATGAGATATTACCAAACAACTTCAAATACTTTAATAGGGGAAGGCTTATAAACTCATTATTTAACAAATTCCCCTGAACATCTAGGCAGCCATGGATTTCTCAAACCAACTCTCAGATATACAGTGTTGTGTAGAGTTAGCTCCATATCAGCCATATTAAAGGACAGACCATCAAAGCATTTGCCCAGGAAACAAATCTGTAAGTATCACTGAAACATCACTAACATAAATCAGTAATACATACCAGCTGACTAAGATTCCTTCCTTACCTAACTAGATAAATGTAAATTGTTCTCATTACCAGTGAAGTAGATAGTGCTCTAAAAGAAAAATACAATAGTACAAAAAAAAATCCCTGGAACAGACATCTCTGTTTAAAAAAATGTCATAGGTATAAGTTATTTTATGCAGTTACATGCTGCACTATCAGCCATGAGACATAAAGACGACAGTTGCCTAAGTTGGCAGTTGCAGTGCGCTGATACTCTGAAACTGAATAATGCATGACATAGTGCTGTTTACTAGGAAGATTTTAATATCACAAAACTAATTTCTAAAATCAAAAAAAGTTTTATTCTTCAGAAAAGCATATATAATAAATGCATGTAATCCTTTTAAAATAACATAAAGAAGAAAACAAACAATTTTTGTTCATAAACATTTCTCCCCATCTCTACTAAATAAATGTTAACTGGTTTTTAAAATACTGACTTACAGTTATTATTCTGGTCATTTGCTTCTATATAACAAACCACCCTAAAATTTAGTAGCTTATTTATTAAAAATCTGTGTTGAATGGTTGAGCTGGTTTATTCTCCCTTGGAAGTTTCATGCTTTTGCACTCAGATTTGTGCTGTGGTTGGTGTTATCTGAAGATTCCACTTCGTTGGACATCCAAGATGGTTTCTTCAGTCACATGTCTTGTGCTAGGCTGAGAAGGCTACAACAATTGGAACCAAGCCAGTTGTCTCTCTCCAGTGCTGTCTGTCCTGTTAGCTAGCTTGGGCTTCTTTTCAGCATGGTGATCTCAAAGTCACTGAAATTCTTAGATGGGGTCTGGCTTTTCCTGGAGTGAGCATTCCAGAAGTCCAAGTTGGAAGCTGCAAAATTCTAGCATGGGAAGTCACACAGTATCACTTCCATAACATTCTGTTGGTAATAAAGTCACAGGGCCAGACTGATTAAAGGGGAGGTGACTACATAATCATGCTTCATTGGACATTATGTTTAGAGACTGACTATGGCTACCATAGGAGTGCTTGACACGTGATTTTATCTACTTGACACATGATTTTAATCTCAAGAGCATATGAATGTAGAATTTGGAGCTTTTTATGTTGACTCTGTCAGCTTCTGCTAAGCAAGCTGTGCCTCCTTCCTCCCAACAGAAAGTAGAATACTCTATTATGACTCTCTATTTAATCGCTTTTGTTTTCTCTGTCTTCAAAGACTACATTAAGTACATTCATATTGCTGGGTAACCATCATCATTATCTGTCTCCAAAACTTCATCTTGCCCAACTGGAATTCTGTACCCATTAAGCACTAACTCCCCATGCTACCCTCCCCACCAGCTGGTAACCCCCATTCTACTTTCTGTCTCACTGAATTTGAATACTGTAGGTACCTCATTTAAAGTGAAATCATACAACATTTGTCCTTTTGTGAGTGGCTTATTTCACTTAGCAGAATGTTTTCAAGGTTCATTTATGTGTAGCACATGCCAGAATTTTCTTCGTTTTTAAGACTGAAAAAAATTCCATTTTATATATATGCCACATTTTGTTTATCCATTCATCCATTTATGAACAGTTGGGTTGCTTCCACCTTTTTGCTATTATGAATAATGTTACTATGAAAATGGGTATAAAAATATCTGAGTCTCTGTTTTCACTTCTTTGGGATATAGTCCTCAAAGTGAAATTCTTTTATCATATGGTAATTCTATGTTTAATTTTTTGAAGAATCAGCATACCAATTTCCACAGCTGCTGCACCATGTTACATTTCCACCAGCAATGCATAAGAGTTCCAGTTTCTCTACATCCTTACTAACAGTTCCTATTTTTTATTTAGTTTTGTTTTTTAAATAATAGTCATCCTAATCAGTGTGGTGTGGCATTTCATTGTGGTTTTAATTTGCATTTTCTTAATGATTAATGATGTTGAGCATCTTTTCATGTGTTTATTTGTATTTGTATATCTTCTTTAGAGAAATTTCTGTTCAAGTCTTTTGCCCATATTTTAAAATCAGGTTTTTTTGATGTGGAGTTGTTGGAGTTCTTGATATCAATCCTTATCAGATATGTGATTGGAAATATTTTCTCTCATTTCCTGTGTGGCCTTTTTACTGTGTTGATGGTGTCCTTGGATCCACAAAAGTTTTTAATTTTGATGAAGTTCAACTTATCTATTTTTGCTTTTGTTTGTGCTTTTAGTGTCATATCAAGAAATTATTGTCAAACTCAATGTCATGAAGCTTTTTCTGTATGTTCTCTTCTGAGTTTTGTTTTAGTCCCTGTATTTGGATATTTGATCCACTTTGGGGTAATTTTTATATGTGCTGTAAGGTAAGAGTCCAACTATATTGTTTTGCAGTATCCAGATATCCAACACCATTTTCTGTAAAGATTGTCCTTTTCTCATTAGATGGTTTTGGCATCCTTGTGGAAAATCATTGGCCATATAGAAGAGGGTTTATTTCTGGGCTCTCTTTTCTATTCCATTAGTCTGTCTTTATGCTAGTACTACACTGCTTTGATTACCATAAATTTGTAGTAAGTTTTGAAATCAGGAAGGGTGAAACATTCCGTTTGGGGTGGTTTTTTTTTTTTTCAGTATTATTTTGGCTATTCAGGGTTCCTTGACATTGTATATAAATGTTAAAATGGATTTTGCTATTTCTGCAAAGAAAAAAAAAGTCATTGGAATTTGAAGGGATTGAATAGAATCTGAAGGTAGCTTTGAGTAGTGTTGTCATCTTAACAATATCTTTTTTTAATTCATGAACATGGTAGGTCTTTACATTTATTTGCATCTTTTTAAAATTCTTTCAGTGATGTTTTACAGTTTTTGGTGTAGAAGTCTTTTGCCTCCTTGGTTAAGTTTATTCCTAGGCATTTTTATGCTATTGTAAACTGAGATTGTTTATTTTCTTTCTGCATTGTTCATTGTTAAGTGTATAGAAATGCAACTGGTTTATATGTGTTGATTTTGTATCCTGCAACTTTGCTGAATTCATTTATTAGTGCTGGTTTTACGTGGAATCTTTAGGGTTTTCTAAATATAAGATTATGTCATCTGGACTAGAGTTAATTTCACTTTTTCCTTTCCAGTCCGGATGCCTTTTTTTTTTCTTGCCTATTTGCTGTGGCTATAACTTCTAATATTATGTTGAATCAAATGGTAAAAGCAACTTCTTATCTTGACCTGGGGAGATTCTTGAAGGAGATTGTTTTGGGAGCTAAAAATCTTCTCCCCCACCTCTGGTGCTACATCACTACATTCTACCTATCTCCTATGTTGGACCACTTGGAGATCTGTAGTCCTCTATCGCCTGAAAGTATATATAGTTCCCTTAATCTGAGCTATTTAGAGTAGAATAATGTTCTAGCCAGGAGAGGTCTTTAGAAAGATGCTTAATAGTAACCTATGGCACTAAAAATTCTAAAAGAGTTCTTACCAACCATCTCCTAACCCCATGCATTCTAAGGAGCTCCCTTTGGAGGTTTCTCTACCAGTGATTTGTAGGCTTGCCTTTTCTTTTTTTTTTTTTCATTTTCCAGCAAATAATTATTGAATCATACACACACACACACACAGTCTTCCAAGGACAAAATCAATTTTTGAGACAGTACAGCTTAAACTAGAGAACATAAATTCAAGTGTCTGGGGGCAATCAGAAATAAATGAAATAAGAAGTTAAGAAAAATAGGGAATGGCAGGGATTAGGGGCAGGTGTTTGTAGCTATGTGTGATTAAGAATCCAGATTTGCCAGATCTTCCAAATTTTGAAGAGAAACTGGAAATCCACATTTTTGTGTAAATTTCCTGAATTTTTAGCACAGTTCCAACTTCAAATGACAGCCAATTTTAAACTTGTGGTCCAAAAGAAAAAGAAAAATGTACAGATTTTATTGAATACCTCATAATTTTCAAAGCTACTTCTTTCACTAATGAATTCATTCTTCACATTACAGAAAATGGCATAGCTTCCTTAGAAAAGGCTTTTTCCACAGCACAGTTTGCGAGGTGGGAATAGGTATGCAAACCTGCCAGAAATTAGAAAGGGCTGCATTAGAGAATCTTCTCTTAGTTGCAAGAGACCTGGATACAGTTCTGAAATTACCATTTACAAAGAAATAAGTCTTTGGCAAACACCTGTTTTAAAAAATTTAAAATTTGTTGTTTTTAAATAAAATTTTGAAATATGAAAACATTGTTATATAATAAATGCGTCATTTTGAAACTATTTTCTAAACTTACCACCTATTTCTGTTGCCTACTTTGTGTTTTAAATATAGAGCTTTTGAGGAGAAACGAAAAGAACAGGAAGAAAAAGAACACCAAATTAGAGAACAAATACTTCAACAAAGAAAACAGAAGTTTGAAGAAGTTACTGAAAAATTCCAGCGTGCCCATGTTCCTCTTTCACAGCGGAGGAAAGCAGGTGCCTTAATTTCTAGAACAGTATGAGAACATAAAGTTTTAATCTCATTTGACTTGAGTAGACAATAAAATCGTAAATGAAGAAATGAAGTGGAAACAAACTAAAAAGACCAATATGACTTTTGAGTAAAAGCACTTTAACCAAAGAAAAATAGTCAATTGATTTAGGTTTAATTGAGAGAATATTGTTGGCACTATTACTAAATTCTGAAACTCACAGTTTGATTTGACTTCCAACTGGTTACAATGGTTTGTCCTTTTAAAATTCATTTGGTAAGTAGCTTAGTACAAAGAAAATTTAACATTTGGGTTCAGAAAATTAGTGTCACATTTATTCTAGTATTTTTTAATGGTTTGGTTCAAATTCATATTTGAGAGACTGGCAGAACACAAAGAAAGTCTACAGAGTAATATAATCCAACAAGATAAAAACTTGGAACCAGTTAAGAATTTAAATATGATTATGGTTGGTTCTTTTGTATTATATCTACATTTTTATACCTTAAATAGTAAGACAATTAACAATATGTCAAAGCTTCATAAAGAATAGTGATAAGCAGAAGCTTTATGTATTCAGCAAACATATGGTGTACTGTGTTGTACTTAGCCTTAGGCTAAGCTGAGATATAGAAAAATCTAATTGCATTCTACCATTAAAGATCTCACAACCTGTTTTGGAGATGAGAGTGGTATAAGCAATGTCAATAACATAATGATAATTGCTATGGTAGCAGAGTGTGTAAAGTGCCATGAGAGCACAGAGGAAAGAACACTAAACCTATGTCAGGACATCAAGGACATCATTCTTGGAAAAATGACTTAAGTCGGATCTTAACAAATGAGCATATTGCAAAGCAAACAGAAAATAAAAGGACATCCCAGGCGAAAGAACAGCTTGTACAAATAAATTATGTATTTCAGTGTATCTGAAGCATAGGATGGGGAAAAGAAGAAAAATGGATATGAAGCTAGAAAAAAAAAGAGGTAGCCAGTTCTCAAAGAGCTTTATATGCCATGCCAGGAATTTCATCTTTATGCAAAATACAGTCCACTTACAGTTTTTTTAACAAGAAAGCAAGCCATTGCTGTGTTAGTAATAAATATTACTGTTAATAAGGGCAGCTAGTAAAACTGCGCTAAATAACAATAGCTTAAACATGATAACAGTTTATTTTTCTCCCATATAATACGACGTCCTGTGGTAGGCAGTCAAGAGCTGGTTTGATGATTATACTGAGCTGAGAGACAGAAGGATCATCTGTCACTCGGCTCAAAAGTCTTTAGTAACACAGTTTATACCCTCACTGTCATGGTCATATGGTAGCTGCTAGAGCTCAACCATCATACCAGTGTTGTAGGCAGGAAGAAAGAACAGGAAAAAAGGGTGTACCTCTGAGATCTCTGCTTGGCAACTTTATTTGCAAGGGAGTCTGAAAAATAGCTTTTTTAATGTGGGTATATTGCTACCCCTAACTATATAGGGTCTGTTACCAAGGAAAAAAGGGAAAATGCATATTAGGTGGGGAACTAGGGGTCTCTGCTATAATTAGATTTGTTAGAAAGATAATTATAGTTACAAGATGGAATATAGATTGAAGTAGAGACTTACTAAAGTAAGTAGACTAGTAGGATACTATTTAAATAATTATGGTAAGAGATGTTAAGCTCCTAAATTAAAGCAGTGCACTGAGTGTAAGAGATAAGATTCATGTTCATCCATATCCATATTCATCCTTTTTTTTTTCGAGATGGAGTCTTGCTCTTCTTCGCTACTGTGCCCAGCCAAAGATACTATATTCAAGAGATATAATCACGGCCAGCCGAGGTGGCTTATGCCTGTAATCCCAGCACTTTGGGAGGCCAAGGCAGGTGGATGGTTTAAGAGCTGACGAGTTCAAGACCATCCTGGGCAACATGATGAAACTCAATCTCTACAAACAACACAAAAATTAGCCAGGCATGGTAGTTCATGCCTGTAGTCCCAGCTACTCAGGAGGCTGAAGTGGGAGGGTTGCTTGAGCCAAGGAAGCGGAGGTTGCAGTGAGCCAAGATCACACCACTGCACTCCAGCCTGGGCAACAGAACCAGACCTTATCTCAAAAAAATAAATAAATAAATAGATATAATCAGTAGGATTCAGTTACTAATTTGATTGAAAGTGGTGAAAGAGGCCGGGCGTGGTGGCTCATACCTGTAATCCCAGCACTTTGGGAGGCTGAGGCGGGTGGACCACTGAGGTTGGGAGTTCGAGACCAGCCTGGCCAACATGGTGAAACCCCATCTCTACTAAAAATACAAAAGTTAGCCAGGCATGGTGGCGGTTGCCTGTAATCCCAACTACTAGGAAGGCTGAGGCAGGAGAATTGCTTAAAAACCCAAGAGGCAAAGGTCGTAGTAAGCAGAGGTCGCACCACTGCACTCCAGCCTGAGCGACAGAGCAAGACTCTCAAAAAAAAATGGTGGAAGAGAGGCTAGAAGGAGAACAGTGCCTCTATAAATTAGCAGAAAACCTTATTTTAAACATTCAATAAATAATTTTTAAATTATTTATTACTTTGATAGATGCATCCTTTATGATGTGAATATCAGCAGACTATCCTGTAGCTTTGCATTCCTCATGTAATCACCAGTTGATTAGGGAAATGGATTGTCTTTAGAGTTCAAGTTTGAACTAACCCTTACATAATAACATCCTATTTTTGCTTAAACATTTTAAATAAATTACAAACATTGTAATAATGGAAAAGTTTGATGACATGTTGGTGTTTTAAAGGAGAAAAGAGGAAGATAGTTTGGAAGTACCCACGAAGAGCTAAAGCCAGAAATTCACTCACCCTATTTCTAGGCCTTGAGTTATTTATAGTATGTGATATACTATAGATACCATGTATAGATAGTATAGTATATTTATAGTATATGATGGGAGGAAAATGATGTCTCCATTTGAGAGGGTTGTAGGAGAAGACAATATTTAGAGAGAGAAGTAGGGTAAAATAGAGTATGTTGAATACCAAAGTGCACAGTGGAAGGCGTTGAGAAAGTGGATATATATAGGACATAGGGTTATATTAAAGGTTGTGCAGGGCAGTATATGGATGAGTGTCCATAATAATGTATGACCTTGAGCAAGTTACTTGCCTTCTCTATGCCTTAGTTTCCTCAGCTGTAAAATATACCTCATAGGCCATAGTGAGGGTTAGTTTATGTGCATTAAATGCTTAAAAATAAGGTCTATAACTAAGTGCTCAGGAAATGTTAGTTGGTGTTTTTGTATGTTCCCCTTTTCTTCATAGGAACATTTATAAATTGTGTCATAAGTTTATGGCACTATGAGATCAAATATAGGGGAGTTTGCATGCCAGGAATGAAGAGCCCAGACATTTCTCAAAGTCTCTTTTTTCCTGATAAATATTCTTAAAATTGGTGATGAAAACTTTGAGGTAACACATTCTCTTTTGGGAATTGAATGTCAAAATTTAAAGTATTTACACTATTCTGAAAATATTTTATTTTTACAAAAGTTTTAAAGTAATATTTTATCATTAACCAATTAAATTATATGTAAAGTGACCACTGAAGATAAAGTGATTCTGTACTGTTCGGTCTTTATTATCTCTTTAGTTTCCCGAAAACCAGTTCCTCCATTAGAAGAGGCCCTCAAACAAATTCAGGAATCCAACTTAAAATCAGAAGTAAACCTTCCCTTTTCCCGTAGACCAACAATAAACTGGAGGTAAGTAATTTATGATCATTGTATACAATTATTACAATAATTGTATAACCATCTAGTTACTGTGCTTGTCAGCTTTTTCATCAGCTACTCCTCATCTGTGTTTTAGAGTTTATTCTTTTATTTTTACAGATTAAATTGAGGTAGAATAGAATGAAAATTGTTCCAAGAATAGGTCAGAATTCCAATTTGTTGTCTTAAAGTCCTTGGTATTACAAAATACTATGTATGTTAAATAATTTTTGTGGAACATACCATCAAAACACTTTTTAAATATTGATATTGATATTTTGATTAAAATGTTTATATCTTTACTGAGAAGAGAAAATTATGTTGAATTGTAATAAATTTAGGTAAAAAGAGTAATTTTATGGTAGAAATGGGTTTTTCCTCACTGAAAATCTCTCCTGGATGTCTTGAAAAGGCTACAGAGTCTCCTGGTTCTTCTGCAGGATGGCATAAGTGAATCATCTAGAAGTAATAGGATGGACCAATCAACCACTGGGTACCCTCGGACATCCTGTATCTTCCATTTATTTATTCCAAACATTTGTTAATGCTACTACATGTATAGAAGTAGATCAGGCATTATAAGGGGATATGGAGAAGTATATACTATTGTAAAATATAATCCCTAGTGTATAATCTGAAAGATAAGTGAAATAGTGCTTCAGAAATATAGAATAGTGCCAAATGAGTAATTGCAATAATATATAAAATTCATTTATATAAATACGTCCACAATTCAGACAATAAATTATGTTAATATTTTACCTGTGCATAATGTTATTCCATTTTTAGAATATCTGTGGGCAACAGTTCCCTTGATTAGGACTAAGAACAAGTAAATGTATCCTCTTGATCCTAATTAGAGTTCAGGAAAGACCTCATGGGACAGAGAATTCTTCAGCAAAGCTTTGAAGAAAATAGTAGTTATTTGGAACAAGTGAGTGGATGGCATTTTAGACAGAGAGATGAGCATGTGCAAAAGCCAAGGGCAATCAAAAGCATGATATACTCTAGGAGTAAGAGTATGTGTACATCATAGAATGCAAAATACAGATGGCTTTGCCAGATACAAGATTGGAGAGATAAGTGCATCTGTATGCCAAGAAATATAAACTTTATCTTGAGAGTTTAAGAGGAGTCAATGAATAATTTTAGGCAAATTAGTGATAAGATGAAATTGTCTTTTTAAACATATTATTCCAATCCATTGTGAACAATTGTGGATAATGGATTGAAACCTGGGGATATTTCAATAAATGTAGAAATTATATAGCCTAGAGCTCAAGAGAAAGACTTAGGCTAAAGGCATTTGAAGCCAAGGTAATGGATATGGTCAACTGTGGAGAGTATGTGTGTGATGAGCAGTGAAGAACAGCAACATTTAAGGAAGTGGAAAAAGAAGAGAAGCTTGCAAACACAATGGCTAGAATGGCTTATATAGGACTAGGAGAGGTCAGTATCATGAAAACTAGGGAAGGATAAATTTTCATGGGAAAAAAAATAGTTTACAGAGATCAAATGACTTCTAAAGAATCAGACACATAATGTCTGTCAGTCAGGATCCTGGCAGGGAACAGGAGGCACACTTAAAAGAGGTGACTGAGAGGTTAAGTAAGGGACTATAAAACCAACAAAGGATGGTAAAGCACCCCCAGAACTGACACAAAGTCAGTATTACCAACACAGACCTGAACTGAAAAGAGCTATACTGTAGAAGAAGGACGCTGGACAGGTCCTGTGGTCCTAGGGAGAGGAATGTAAGCCACTGCTAAAGCAAGCCCAGCAGGGAGGAAGTCAGAGGAATAATTATCAAAAACCTCTTTCTTCTGTCACCCTCCTTTCTCCTTCTGGTACCTTCCACTGGCCAAACTCAGCCATAAATCAAAGAGCAAGGGATCATTCAGTCTCTTGGAGCAGAGTCAAGTAGAGAAATGTGGTAATGAATCTGGAAGGGCAAAGAGAGAATATCCAACATAGAAACAATGGGTCCACTGTATTTCACAACAAAAAAAGTTACTGGCAACTTTTGTCAGACCAATTTTAGTGGAGTGGTGGGGGCAGAAAATAAATTGCAATGAGTTGAAGAGAAATGGAGAGCAAAAAGGATAACAAGTTTAGTTTGACTGTGAAAGTTAGAGAGTGATAGGACAATAGCCAGAAGAGATGTATGGCCAATATATGGCTTTTCCCTTAAAAAAGATCTTATGATGTTTAAATATGAATATTAAAGTGATGAGCAACAGAATCGCAGTCTAGAAAGGTAGAGTAGGATACAAAAGTACTTATTCTGTGTTAGACACTGATTAGCATGGGTTACACATGTGAATGAGATATGGTCCTCTGCCTAGCAAGGGTTTGCAATTACATTATAATACTGTTTGTTGGTCTTTACAACATAATACACATGTAATACTGTATAATGGGGGTTGTTACAGAAATACTAGCAAAGTAATAAAGAAGTACAGCATTGAAGGTAGAAGGTAGTCTTAAAGAATGAGTTAAGATTTATCAGAGAAGCATGTGTTGGGTTTTAGGCATGTGCAGTGCTACAGTGTTGTGAAAGGCATAGACCCCTGAGGAAATAGAACTTATTCAGAGTGTCGGGACTACAGGATGTGTTGCTGATGGGACAGGGGATGATCTAGAAATGTAGATTGTGATCAGATGTAAAATGTTTGTATGTCTAGCAAGTGAGTGTGAACTTTATCCTGTAACCAGTGCGGAGCCAATGGAGGTTTTTCAGCAGGGAGTGATAGCATCCTCTTTCTTATTTTAGAAAGATAAATGGTGCAAATGTTGGAGAATAGAGAGGATAGAGAGAAATTGGAGGCAAGGAGACCAGAGAGGAAATTATTGGAATAACCCAAGGGATAGATCCTTACTGCCTAAACCAGAACAGTACTATTTTGTATAGTGAAGAAAGGATGGCTCTGATAATAAAAGGTTTTTAGTAGTGAGAGGATGAGAGAGAAGAAAGAATGAAGATAATGTGCTTTCACAGTGCAGAGAAGTAGCATAAAGAAATAAGAGTTTAAGGATGTTGATCAATTACAAGTATAAGAATTGAAGTATAGGCTGGGCATAGTGGCCCACACCTGTAATTTCAGTGCTTTGGGAGGCTGAGGAAGGAGAATCAATTAAGGCCAGGAGTTCAAGACCAACCTGGACAATAGAGCAAGACCCCATCTCTACACACACACAAAAAATGTAAAAATTAGCTGGGCATGCTGGCACACACCTGTAGCTCTAGCTACTCGAGGAGATGAGGTAGAAGGATCACTTGAGCCCAGGAGTTGGAGCCACAGTGAGCTATGATCACACCACTGCACTCCAGCCTAGGTAACAAGAGTGAAATCCTGTCTCAAAAGAAAAAGGAGAAGGAGAAGGAAAAAGAAAAGAACAAGAAGATGAGGAAGAGGAGGAGAAAGAAGAGCAACAAGAATTGGAGAATAGACAGAATAGAAGCAGAAAGAAAAGATATTTTATTAAAAGAATAGATGAGTTTGGTATAGGACAAAGGAAATGAAAAAAAGCAAAAAAATAAAAAGCGACTGATATTTTGAGTCTTGCTGATTAAGGGAATGTGATTAACTTTTTAAAATTCCCTTTGAGCCTTCTGAATTGAGGGGATAAATATCCATGTAGAAATGTGTAAAAATAATTTAACCAAAGATGAGGTGAGAGGCCAAGGCTCTAGAAATAGATTTGAAAGTTATGATTGTATATATTGTTGCTTAATTTTCATGTGTACTTTTGTCCCCACAACCAGATTGTAATATTCTAAAGGACAGTGTCTCAGTCTTACATATGCAGGTATTCCCTATAGTGCTTAATTCAGTACTCATGTTGGAGGTATTCAATAAATACCTTGAATGGAAAAATATCACTGACATGAGTGAACACTTCTCAAAGTGTATAAAAGTGGCCCGAAGTTAGATAGATGAGGAGGGTATTTATCTGAGACAAACACTGGGAGGAAATTTCAACCAGAAGGAATATTAGCATGTGAGAAGGCATAGAATCATAAAAGGCATGTTGTGTTAAGGGAGCTACAAGTAGCACAATTTGGCTAATGTGTACAGTGAGAAGAGAGTTGTGGGCAGATAGGTTGGAAAAGAAGCCGTGAGTTAGATCATGAAGAGCCTCGGTAAGGAGTTTGTTTTAAAAACAATTACTGAAAGATTCGAAGCAAACACAATATTTATAGGTTGGAAATATTGCCAGAATGGAAAAGAAAAGGAGAACACTGAAAGCAGTAAAATCAGGTAAAATGGCACTTTAGTTGATGAAAACAATGACTTCTTGAAAGCTATTTAGAAGGTACAATCAATATGCTTTGGTAACTGTTTAAGACCTGGAGTGATTGGGAAGAATCAAAGATGACTCCAGAGATTAGATTTGGTCAGTGAAAAAGTGGTAAAACCATTTATCAAAATGAGGACTACGAGGTTAAGAGGGTAGATCTCATGTTAAGTGTTCTTACCTTAGTAAAAAACAAAAATGATGAATATGAGGGAAGAATAGATAGGTTTAGGGGAGGAAGTAATTGGAAGGAGAATGACATGTTTGAGTTTGAGACACTTATGAGATATTCAAGAGCCAATTTCTTATAGTAAGAAATCTGGGCCATGAATGTAGACATGACAGTCATCAATGAATGAATAAAGTTAAAGTCATGGCAGTATCTGCCAGTGGTATTCTTAGATTCAGCTAAACAATCAAACTCCCTTAACTGTACCAGGCTGTTTGGCTTCAATTAGAGACCAGAAAACAGTGCATGCCAACTAGGTAACATTCTTCAATAGGAGGAATCCTTATAGAAGGCCACAAGACAGTTGAGGGGCTAGTTTTTGCTATGTTTCTACCCTCTACAAGTGACAGCTCAGCTTTAAGGCTTATAATGCTTACATTATCACAATGGGTAGGCATCTACCTATTCTGGATAAGACGCCCCATGTTCTAAACAGGAACAAATGTTTTTGTAATGGCTCCATATGAATTTCTCCCATGGAAGAGATATGTCCAGTAATAAGAATTATCATACTCGAGGAAACTCAAAACTATAGCTTTCTAGCAGATACCTGTGGTTTCTTTGCAGTCCTCTTAGTCCAGATGTGGTTTACCAATGAAGGGCCATTTTTACCATAATCAATGTGCCTTGTAACACAGCTTAAATCCTACTAATTATCCAGAGAAATAGACTTAGAAAGTTAACTCAAAGTTGAATTGGTCCATAGAGAAGGAGAAGATTTTGTTAACCCTTTACTCACACACTAATATAGATAAGGTCACATAGACAGTATAAGTAAGATTACAAAGAAAGTATGGATATAGATAAGAAAAAAAGAAAGCCACATAACTCAAAAATTTTAGCATATAAAGGACAGGCAAAGAAAGAGGAGCTCAAGAAAGAGCCTGAGAAGGAACAACCAGAGAAGTAAGAAAATAAATGGGAAATGTGATGATGCGGAAACCAAGGGAATTAAAATCAAGAAAGATAGTGGTCAAGAAATACCTATTTTTGCAATTACTAGGTAATTAGTTAACCACAAGCAAAGTAGTACATTGAAGTGATAGAGGTGGAAGCCAGATAACAGTTGGGTTAAGAGACAAGTGGAAGTTGTGGTAGTAATATAATTTACTACCATATTATATGTGTCAATATAATTTTAGAGTACTCTATAGGAAAGCTTGTCTGAAAAGAGATGACAAACAATTAGAGGGAGTCCCGGGATTTATTTAGACTAATTTTAAAAATTCTAAACCAGTTAATGTAGAAGCAATGTACATTTTCTATACAGGGCTTCTTCACTTTCAGGTTTTTTTTTTCTATCAGTTGTTATACTTTATGTTAATTGAATTATTTTCCTTTTTTGTTTGTTTGTTTGTTTGTTTGTTTTGAGACAGTCTCACTCTGTCTCCAGGCTGGAGTGCAGTGGTGCAATCTCGGCTCACTGCAACCTCCACCTCCCGGGTTCAAGCAATTCTCCTGCCTCAGCCTCCCAAGTAGCTGGGATTACAGGAACGTACCACCACACCCAGCTAATTTTTGTATTTTTAGTAGAGACTGGGTTTCACCATTTTGGCCAGGAGGGTCTCGATTTCTTGACCTCGTGATCCACCCGCCTCGGCCTCCCAAAGTGCTGGGAATACAGGCATGAGCCACCATGCCCAGACAGATATTTTCAATTTTTAAAAACTCTTGTAGAATGAAGAAAAGCATAGGCGTTTTTCTTGTTCAACAGTGTGCAGTTGCTTGAAGTCTTAGAAGAGTTAAACTGTCAGAACAACTTTGCTTTCCCTGCAGCAAACATGTATATATGATTACAGCAAGTCTATGCTAGGATCATTAAATAACACACATCATCTTTGTTTTATAGAAATGATCTTCATTGTGCATTAGAATACCTAGTTAGTTTTCATGTTATTTTAACATACTATTTTGACTTTGACTTCATGATATCTATATCTATCTGTGTGTGTATGTTTATATATACATATATATATCACATAAATTCTATGTATTTGGAAAACAACAAGTGTATACAATGTATAGTGAGAACACTATGATTTACTTATTAAAAAGTTAGACTTCTCTCCACAGATAACCAATAATCTTAAGTAATGTATATGAAAGTGCTTTGTAAAATTTGAAATTCTATATAAATATGAGATATTGGAATATTAAGAATCAGGTGTTAGGTTAATGGACATATTTTTATTTATTGAAAATGTAATTAAGCTGAAACCATTGATAAACTACTATCACATTAAAAATACATTTTCAGTGGAATGTAAACCTAAATGTGTTAAGAAATAAAGTAATGCCAAGAAATAAGGGGCTTACAAAGAAGCAGAGGTATATCAGTAAGATTATTCTAATGTGGAAAATGTTAGTGGTAGATAAAAATAAGATGTTGGCAATCTGATCATGTAAAAGAGAAAAAAAATATATGATAAAGTGCAGGGCATTTAGTGCTTAAGCCCTAAGATAAATCAGAGAATATATTCTCATGAACATAGAAGCTGCTTCAGCAAATAGTGAGATATAAGAATATTAATAAGGGAGTAAAGTTAAAAATATAAGAAGTAATTAGTCTTCTGTCACCATCAAATCCTTATCATAAAGCTAATATGCTTGACCATTCTGGAAGGTGTAAAGTAAAAGGGGATATATTGTCTCCCATATTAAATGGTTAAACTTTAATAAAATGATACTGCTAGATATCTATCTCCAATATCCATGTATCTGTAGTGTGGCAGTTGATCCTGAACTACGTGCTACACTGAGAAATCTGGCCAGAGCTGAGCAGTTATCTATTGACCTCTATTTGCCCTTTGAACTCATGCTTTAAACCAGATTGTCCAGCCCATATTCCTGTATCTGTGTGAGTAAAAGGCTTCTGAGAAGTGAAAATACTCTAAGAGCAAGAAATAAGAAATGGCGAACCTGAATAAGCTATGTACGTTTTTCAGTACATGTGAGAGGACACTGGTTGATCAAAGGATGATCATACATGGACCCTATGGACAAGAAAATAACATGAATCAAAAGCCTAGAGGCAGCCCAATAAACCAAAAAAAATAATCTTAATAAGGCTGTCTCTCTGCCTGCCTGTCCAAATGCTTTTCCACCTGTGCAGATCCATTCCTGCCTGTCCAGCTGTCTCCACACCTGACCCCTACTTACCTGATCAACTGTCTCCTCCACGGGTCCCATTGCGGTCCCACCACTTCCAAATTCTTCCTAGCTACCCAACTGTTTCTCCTGCCCGCCAGCCCCATATACTGCCTATCCATCCATCTGTACCCTCTACTCTTCCAAAGACCTTTGCACCAGTCCCATTACTGCCTTACCCAATTAAATATCATCCTTGTCCTCCAACCCCGGCTACTTCCAGCATTTCTAGCAGTTTCCCTCGTCTACCAGCACCAATTCCTTCTTGCCCACCTGGCCATCCACCCCACGCACCCCAGAGTTCTCCAATCATTCCTGACCCTGAGTCACAGCACAAGTTATTTTACAAAACTTTCAGACCCAAACATTTCCTTCCAGCACAGCATTCTACTGCAGCCACTCTAATGCCTACCCTTGTTCGTCGTTCCCTTCCAGCTCCACTGGTTGTTTCCCCAACCCCTTTGGAACCTCTCCCTGTTTTGAAGCCTTCCTGTTTATCCAGTCACCCCCCTTATCCACCAGTCCCCACTCTTTCTTATGTCACTCCGTTGCCTGCACATCCTGCTAGCTTGGATCCTTTTCAGTCAGTCCAGCAATCTGTTCCACAAGCCACAGCATTGTCAAATCAGCCCGAGGCCTTTGCAGATCATCCACCAGCCTCAGTTCTCTCCCTTGCATCTCCCTGTCATTCTCCATCTTCTTCTTTGCCTTCATCTCCTTCTACTTCCACATCCTTTTCTTCAGCCTGTATACTGTTTTCTTCCTCCTCATCTATTCTTTCCTCTTCTTCGACTTCCTGTTCTACTTCTCCATCCTTACCTCCTTCATCTATCCCTCTTTTTTCCTCTCCTTTGCATTCATCTTCCTCTCCAGGTTTGCCTCCAACTTATTTAGCTTTTCCCTCTCCAGTTTCTCCTGTTTCTTCTTCCTTTATGATTTCCTCTTCCTTTCCCCCTATTCTTCACTCTCCTTCTGTTTCTACCTCCCCATCTCCTTTTATTCCTATCCACCCCTTCAATCCTCCTCATTGGGGGAAGAAAGTAGAGAAGAGAAGAGAAGAAAGTGGAGTAGAGAAGAAAGGAATAGAGAAGAAAGTTGAGACACGACAACTTTAAAGGTAAATAAATTGAGTTTATTAGATATTTTGTAGATATAGCAATATTTTGTTTGGGAAGGGCGACTGAAGGGGAAGGATTATCTAAGAGTAGGAAAGTGTAAAAGGAAGAGACAGAAACATACTCTCAATGTTCAGGAACTTGTATTAAATACCTTCTTGCTCTCCCTGATTAAATGTGTGATCACAAAGGGATAGTTAATCTAGTAATCATTGACCTTGACTACTCCAGTCTGTCCAAATAAAGATATATATATGGATATTGGAGATAGGGAATAGGTATATATCACATGTGGCCACTATCACCTTCCAAAACATTTTTATTCTCATTAAAGTGGGAATAATTTAATTGAATTAGGAATAAATGCTCTTTGGATTCACACTGCCAGCCCCAGTGCAGCAGCATTCAGCTATATGGTAGTCTCATCCCCATCCTATCCTCCCCCAAAACTCTTCTTTAGTTCTTTGCTTTCACTTTGTATATGTGCTGAAATCTAACATGCTATAGATTTGCAGAAGATACAAAATTCTAATAGAAAATGATGTCATGCACTGAAAATGTTTGGATGGCCCTTTAGCATAGTAAAGGTAGACTCTATATTAAGGGTACGCTTCTGTGGCATAAAAACCATGCTTATATTCCTGTTTATATTCCTGAAATAACTGAAAATAAGTGAGTACTTGGCCTCCATTGAGGACGATCCAAGTTCCCAATGCTAGTTAAATAGGGAGGAAATTCCTGCTGACCCTGACAAGCAATTTTTATATTTTCTATCTGCTTGAATCTTCAACCAACACTATTAGGGTTACAGTTTTTTCCTAACCTACTAGCCATGACATCAACTCAGAAAGAAGGGTAATGCAGTATATTATTATCCATATAGGAATGCTCTTAAAGACCTGAGGACTGACTCTACACAGGAATTACTTCTACCCTTATCCCAGATTATAGAGGGATAGGTTATAATAATCAAAGCCATGAATTACTGGGCATTCCTATATGAAGGTGGAGTTCTTTACTGGTACTTTAGTCTCACAACTACTTTTATTCTACTATTGATTGCCTTAAATTCTCATTCTAACATGTCTATATATTTCTCCAATATCCTTATATGTGGTTATCTGGACAAACACACACGTATTACACCTAATGTGTCATGTATATACATATAGAAAGAAGTTAACTTTATTTAAATGTACTAAGCACTTTTTATGTCTGGTTCACAGAGCTATAGATTCTGCCTTGCCTTCCGCATTATCAAAAAATGATCACAAGCATCAGAAACAACTCTTATCCAAAATCAATTGTGAGAAAGAAATGAATGAAAACATGAGGGCAACCTTGGCTACTAGCAAAAATGTGTTCCAGCTTAAACTGGAGGAAACTCAGAAACTCCTCGAAGATCAACATCTAAGCAATTTGCAAGTATGAAACTATAAAAATGTTGTTAATATTTTAATTCCTTGCACTAATTTTGCTCCACTTTTGCAGTGTTCTCCACTAAAGAAATATCTTACTAGCTGAGAGCAGGCCATGAAAGACAGTGTGGATGAATCAGCACAAATTCATCATAGAAACTATAGAAATAATTTTTTAGTTTTTTCCTTACCTTTGAAAGTACAATGTAATGTATTATTGTTAGAGATTGTATTATAAAAAGCAACCAGAAAATTATAATACATGTAGATATTAGTTTCTTAATGGAAATATGGCAGAATTTGCTAGAAATGATGTTTGTAATCTATCCCTAGTAGGGCATATACTTTATTTTTTCCACAACTGAATACAGATATCAGCTGATTTTCCTACATGTCCATCCATGTACTTTATTTTTCATTAATAATTATGCACATTTATGAGATTTTTAATAAACCAATATAAGATTAAATTCATAACATTGGCCTGATTCATCCAACAATTAATCAACAGTGGCAAGGCTAAGAAAGCAAAACAGAAGATTCCTGGCAGCTATCGTGATGTGCCTTCCTACCATAAACAACTATAATTATGAACAAAATAAATAAAACAACTGCTTGTAGACATGGGTCAGAGGCAGTGCAGGATGTGATCTTGAAAAGGGGAAAGAAATGATGTAAGCCTTATAACCTAGGCTTTCTACGTAGTTATGTTGCCTGAATAAGCCTTAAAAAGATCCACTAGTAACCCAAGCTACCTATTAAACAAAAAAACTTAACACTTTTTTCTTTTTTCCTTTTTTTTTCTTTCTTTTTTTTGAGATGGAGTCTCACTCTGTCACCAGGCTGGAGTACAGTGGTGCAATCTCGGCTCACTGCAACCTCCGCCTCCCAGGTTCAAGCAGTTCTCCTGCCTCACCTCCCGAGTAGCTGGGACTACAGGTGCCCGCCACCACGCCCAGCTAATTTTTGTACTTTTAGTAGAGACGAGGTTTTACCATGTTGGCCAGATGGTCTCCATCTCTTGACCCCATGATCCGCCCGCCTCAGCCTCCCAAAATGCTGGGATTACAGGCATGAGCCACCATGCCTGGCCAACACTTTCTTAAAGAAGACTATGAAATCTAAATACTCAATAACATAATGCTCACAATGTCAGCATTCAATCAAAACTTACTAGACATGTGAAGAATCAGGAATATATGACGCATAACCAGGAGAAGAGTAGTCAATATAATCAGACAGAAATAACAGAGATGATGGAATTAACCAACAAGGAATTTTAACGTATTTTTACAAATATTTTCAAGGAATTAAAGTAAAAATGTACATAAGAAAGACAATTGAAAAAAGAAATAAACAGACCTTCTAGTTCTGAAAAACATACTATCAGAAATGAAAAATTGACTGGATGGACTTAACATTGCAGTCATTGCAGAACAAAAGATTAGTGGACTTGAAAACATAGCAATAGAAATTATCCAAGCTGAAGCTTTGGGAGAAAAAGGCTGGAAAAAAATGAACAGTTTGTTAGTGACCTGTGAGACCATATAAAGCCATCAACACATTTAATTAAAAATAAAATTTAAATAAAATTTCACAAAGTAGGAATGGAAATGTTTAAAGAAACCATCGCTGGAAATGTTTCAAATTTGATGAAAATTATAAATCCACAGACTCAAGAAGCCCAACAAACTCCAAGAAGGATAAGTGTATGCACACACACATACCACAGAAAGGCACCTAAAAATCAGATTAAAGCCAGAGGGAAAAAAGATATGTTACATGCAGGGCAATAAAGATAAGACGGACCGCTAAATGTAACTTATAAGCAAAACTTGAAATTGATCATAATGTTTCATTATTTAGTGGTGGGAAAAAATCTGAAGAAAAAAAAAGTATTGTTTATGAAATCAGAAGTTGCCAAACTTCTTCTGAGGTGATTTGGGAGATGAAGCAATTACAGACCTATGCAAATGGAAATCTTAGAGCCATGGATGTCATACTTATATCTAGAAGGATCTTCTAACGCAAATTTCTGTGTCTCACTAGATGTAACCTCAAAGGATGCCTTCCAGGCCTGATTTCATCATCATTATCAGTTAAAACAACTTATTTCCAAGAACAGGCATTGAAGTAGCTATGCTTTGTTTTGTTCCCTGTTTGGGTTGAGTGATTATCACTTTAAGAAGTATGCCAAAGGATGTGATAAATAGGGACTAAATGCTAAAAATATAAAACTCTCATGAATAATTTTTAAAACTTATTCCACAATACTAAATCAATAAGAACTAACTATATAAATTAAAATATTTTTATTCTGTAATTTATTTACTTTATTTCTTAGTTTACTTACTGGGATAGAAAAAGAAAGTACTTTTGTCTAATACCATAGTATGTAAATTTTTAAAATTTACATATTTTAGATAAATCTAAAATGTATGATAAATCTTAAGGGATATCAATTTTCTTTCCATTCAGCATTTTGACTAGATATACAATTTAATGTCTTCTTAAAATTTATTTCTATATATGTGATGTAGATTAATGCATGCTAGGTATGTGTGAGAAAACAGAAATATTTTTAAACATTTACCATACATTGAAGTAATTTTGAAATATTATTAAAGACTGACAAATTTCATGTAAATTTCAGTGAAATAGTGATGTAAATGTCTATGGAATTTATGGAAATTACTACTATGCTAAACCTCCAAAAGGAGTCATTAAAGTCAATAGTTTTTGAGCCTAAACCCATATGAAAATTACCTGGGGAATTTAAATAATACCAGTATATGGACCCCATCCAAGTATTAAATCAGCAGGACCCAGGTATAGATATTTTACACAGTTCTTTATGTGATTTTAACATGTAGCCAGAGTTAACAGCCTTACTACAGTCCACAAAATTAAGTTTTATAAAAAGATGTAGCCCCTACTAACAGGAAACTCACATTAGGATCACAGAGCTTTTAGGAGCCTCATTCAAGTCCAGTGAATGTTTTAGGAAAAAAATACAATTTATAAATAATTATTTTTCAGAATCTCACTTTCTATTACTAAGCCTTCAAGAAACTTCATACTCTAAATGGAATAGCAATAACAAAAATTTTTTTTAAGTTCTAACTGTGGCTAGAATAAGCAGGTATTACTTTAGGAGTTGAAATCAAAGCAAGCATACTATACTATAAGTCTTTGTTACCTCCCAATTTTTTACCTTGAGGATTGCTGCAGGGATAAGAATTATTTATATACCTATGATGTTTATAGTCATACTACTCTATATGCAAGGAGAATTGGGCTCAGTAACAATGGTATGTTGAATCGTTAATCTTGGCATTTAAAAGTTTATAAGCTATAAAACAATGTTCTTTTTTTTTCCAGAAATTTTGTGATGAAGTTAATCAGATAACCAATTCTGAAACCCTCTCAAGTATAGACAGTCTTGAGGCTACAGAGCATGAAGAAATATATTTAACACTTAATAAGGAGCATTCCACATCCATCCAGCGGAATACCATTTCCCTCAAACCAGCAAATATGCAATCAACTAATCTCAGCTGCTTTGATGAAGATAAACTGGCATTCTCTAAAACTCAACATATAAATAATTGGCTTACAAATTTAGATGCTTCAAATACTCAGAATGTCACAGCTTTCTCAGATATTTTAAGTAAATCTAATGTTCTGCCTTCATGGGAATATTTTAATAGTAAAGAACAAAATCCATCTCCTTTGAATGGAACAGTGGAAAGAGCCACAAATACTGCTAATAATTCAGTACCCTTTGTATCTAGCCCACCCATGTTTGTACTAGATAAAAAATGTGAAAAGACCTCTGAAACTAGCACTATGAGGACAACTGACTCCACTTCTGGAGCATTCAAAAGAGAGAGACCATTAGTTACTGAGAGCCCAACATTTAAATTTAGCAAATCCCAAAGCACTTCAGATTCTCTAACCCAGGAAGTGGCTACATTTCCAGACCAAGAGAAATATTCTGAATTAAATCAAGAAAATGGAACTACTTCAATTCCTACTTCATGTGTACCAGTGGCAACGCCTTTAGTTTTGCCATCTAATATACAGTCAGCTAGACCTTCAGCAAAGAACAGTATACACATAAAAGAAATTGATGCAGTGCAGTGTTCTGATAAGTTAGATGAATTGAAAGATGGTAAAGAAGAAGAGATAAAATATTTTAATTGCAATAAGGAAGAGTTGCCTTTATTTTCAGACAGTTTTCAAGATGCCTATATACCTCACAATCCTGATTCAAAAGATGAAAAACAAAAATTAGCTGAAACATCATCCTTGTCTAATGTAACTTCTAATTATGACTTTGTTGGCCAGCATAAGAAAATGAAATACAACATCCATGAGAGAAATGGTGTGAGATTTCTTAAAAGTATTTTAAAGAAAGAATCTAAATATGAACATGGTTATCTTAAGGCATTAATTATAAATCAGAGCTTTAAGTTTGGAAATCAAAAAGCAGCAGCTATCAGAGATAGTATTGAATTAACAAAGGAAAAAGGTGCAGAAATTCCAAAGACCATTAAAAAACTGAGGTGGTTTGATGAAACTAGCAATATAGAAAACAATGCTGAAAACAGTCATTCACTGAAGAATAAAACAGGAACAACTCAACAGCATTCTCAACAATTCCACATTCAAAGTGGTGCTGGAAGCAACATAATTAGTGTTTCTACTTGTGCTGTAAATTCTGCTGATACAAAGAAGTCCAGGGAGGATTCTATCTCTGAAAATGTTACGACTTTAGGAGGATCTGGAGCAGACCATATGCCTTTGAACTGTTTTATACCTTCAGGTTATAACTTTGCTAAACATGCCTGGCCAGCCTCAAAAAAAGAAGAAAGTAAAATCCCTGTACATGATGATTCTAAAACTAAGCAAGGTAAGCCACAAAGAGGTAGAGCAAAAATAATTAGAAAACCAGGATCTGCAAAAGTCCAATCAGGCTTTATATGTACAAACAGAAAAGGCGCTGTCATTCAACCACAGTCTGCAAGCAAAGTCAACATATTTACACAAGCTCAGGGAAAATTAATTATACCTTGTCCTCCTCCTCAATCTACATCAAATATTAGAAGTGGTAAAAATATACAAGTGTCTCAGTGTCAACCAGTAACTCCTGAAAATCCTCAAAACATTATTACACATAACTCTTTTAATTCAAAACATGTGCTTCCAACAGAACACAGTTTGAATCAGTGGAATCAGGAAAGTAGTTCTCCACTCTCAAATGCTTGTTCTGACCTAGTCACTGTGATACCATCACTGCCATCATATTGTTCTTCAGAGTGCCAAACTTTCGCAAAAATAAATCATTCAAATGGCACTCAAGCAGTTGCCCGGCAAGATGCGACATTATATTGCACCCAAAGAAGTCCTGTTTGTGAAGAAAGTTATCCGTCTGTGACTCTAAGAACTGCTGAAGAAGAATCAGTTCCCTTATGGAAAAGAGGTCCTAATGTCCTGCATCAAAATAAGAGGGCTACAGGTAAGAATAAATTTATAGCTTTTTATAGATAAAATGTACACCTTTGTTAAAGTCATGTGAAATTGTTCCTATTTATGTATGGCCATACATACTACATAAATATTAATATTAAACAATAGCTTTATAGAAATAACTTACCTCCAGGCCAAGCACAGTGGCTTACACCTGTAATCCCAGCACTTTGGGAGGCCCAGGCGGGCGGATCACTTGAGGCCAGGAGTTCAAGACCAGCCTGGCTAACATAGCGAAATCCCATCTCTACTAATAGAAAAGTTAGCCCGGCATGGTGGTGCGTGCCTATAGTCCCAGCTACTCGGGAGGCTAAGGAAGAAGAATTGCTTGAACCTGGGAGGTAGAGGTTGCAGTGAGCCGAGATCATGTCACTGCACTCCAGCCTGATGACAGAGCAAGACTCTGTCTGAAAAAAAAAAAGAAAGAAGTAACTTACCTCCTGTAATATTGTGATTTTTGGCCAGGCACGGTGGCTCATGGCTGTAATCCCAGCACTTTGGGAGGCCAAGGCACGCGGATTTACTTGAAGTTGGAAGTTCGAGACCAGCCTGGCCAACGTGACGAAACCCTGTCTCTACAAAAATACAAAAATTAGCCGGGCATGGTGGCGCGTGCCTGTAATCCCTGCTGCCTGGGAGGAGGCAGGAGAATTGCTTGAACCCAGAGCCCAGGAGGAGGAGGTTTCAGTGAGCCAAGGTGGTGCACCACTGCACTCCAGCCTGGGCAACAGAGCCAGACTCTATCTAAAAAAAAAAAACAACAACAACATTGTGACGTTAGTAGCTGAATCCTTTTAAGAGAATGACCCAACCAGTGCTCAACTGAAATTAGAAACTTTTGCCAGCCTCCATTTTTTTCCATGACTTTTCCTGTTAGTTTAAGAGGAAGGACAAGGAATAGGATCTGATTCTTGTCCCATATTATTCTGTCATTACTATTGTAGTCAAATTTTCCAACAAAGTAAGCACAGTGAAAAATATTGTTTAAATTATTATAAACAAGTGAATACATGTAGTTATATTTATTTTTCTTTAAAACTTTTGTTAA
This sequence comes from Homo sapiens, assembly GCF_000001405.40. Taxonomy (NCBI): domain Eukaryota; kingdom Metazoa; phylum Chordata; class Mammalia; order Primates; family Hominidae; genus Homo; species Homo sapiens. The sequence goes on from NC_000011.10 coordinate 101,964,940, forward strand.
ATTGAGTTGCTATAAACTAATATTAATTAGATATACCTAATTCTCCCATTCTCTTTCCCAAAGTGTGGTAGCTCTGCTTTTATCTGCTATGACTATTGGTTTTTGTGAGAGCAAAAAAATGATATCATTGTCTTGAAATATTTTTGAAAATTAATTCTCTATAGAATGCCATTGCCCTTACTAGCTGGTCGACTCTCATAAAACTTCTTTCCTTCTATGAAGGAATAAACTAGAAAGCAATATATTTTCCTGCCAATAGGAAACAGTTGCCTATTGAGAAATAGTTAGGACTGGAGTCTGGAGGCAATCAGAAAAACAACTCTTGTTTTTCCAAAGGTATGAATAAATATTGATATATAATGAGAGTTTAAAATTTAATATTCAAAGTCATCTTCAATTAAACCATGAGTTTTTAAGGCCAAGGGACATTTGTGTAATTCATCACAGTATCCCCAGATCCTAACAGTGCCTGGCACTTAGTAATCACCCAGACTCTACTTGAATTGAATGGATAGAAGCCACATTAGCAGAAGGGAAGCTAAATGCAGACACTATAATCTAAAAATCTTCATTACTTGTCTACAAAAATCTAGATTTTAAAAAATTGTTTCTCTCACTAAAATTATGATTTTTTTATCCAGTCATTTCAGAATGTAACTTTAGCTTTCACAACACTTCAAAAAAATGAAGGTATCGTACAGATTAAATATTCTAAAATAAATAATGATAGTTACCCTTTTTGAGTTTGTAGCTTGTACCAGTCACAGTACTGTTTTATACTTACTGTCTCATTTAAACCTTGTAATAATGCTGAGAAATAAATATTTTTAAGACACTGTTTTGCAAAGAAGTAAGCAGAATTATCCAAGGTCAAGAGCTAGTAAATAGCAGAATTGGTATTTTGATCCAGATCTCTATGGTTCCAAGTCCTGTGCTTTTTCTACTAAAATCATATAGTAAATATAGTGATAAAGCAAATATCATATATCACACTCTGCTAATTAGGAAAAATATTAGGAAACTTATAGTTTCCCAATAGCTTATGTACAAAAGGGTAACATATTAAAATTATCTGATTCTCTGATAAAGGAATGGGATACATTTTATCTGGAGAAACCAATATTTTCCTGACATTTAGTCAAAGGAGGTAGTTCTCTCTGGGACATTCGTATAAGGGACATTGGAAAATGTAATGAATTTTAACATTCTTAAATGTTCTTAAATATTCACACTGTTGTAAATATCTATACCTATTAATACAGCGATTATACTTAGAAAATATAACAGTACTAACAATACTGAATATTTTGTATGTTCAGTCATTTAAGCTTTTTTTTCCAAAACTGTTTAAATATAAAATGCTTCAAGTGAACTCTTTGTTAATACTGGATTACAGTTCAGTGAGCATTTGTGGGATTTTTTTTCCTACTCTCTTATTTGCAGTTCATTTTATTTTTATACCCTTATGCATCCAGAGTTGACGATTGTGGAGAGCATCTTGTTCTCAATTAGCATTTCCAGAACACTCTAGCATAACTCTCTAGGAAAAACTCTTCCAATTAGATCCAAGCCATTCGACTATACCACCTCCTGATGTCTCCAGTTATTTCCCCCCTAAAAGATGACTTTGATATTTGGTTCACAGTCTTCATTTCCATACAGAGTCTTTGCCATCATATTGGATAGTTCAGCTTTTATATGGATGAGCAAACATCCTGATCCCTCTCACTCCTTTTTCATCTCTAATAACTTTCTATACAATTCTGCCTCAAATACCCTTTCCCTTTGTTATATTCTGGACCTCATCAACATTCATAACTCCTCTACTTCTTTTCTTTATTTCAGCTTTTATTTTAGATATAGAGGGTACATGTGGATGTTTGTTACATGGGGATATTGCATGATGCTAAGGTTTGGGGTATGGATCCTATTACCCAGGTAGTAAGCAAACTCACTCACTCCTCTACTTAAGCACATTCTCCTCTCTTTTCCCTACTCTTACTCCTACCATTCTTCTACCCTACTGGGCTTCTTTAGTCCAGTATTTTCTCTACTTTCTCATTCCAATTCATCATCTCTTTCTTTCTTTTTTTTTTTTTTTTTTTTTGAGATGGGGTCTCACTTTGTTGACCAGGCTAGGGCGCAGTGGCGTGATCATGGCTCAGTGCAGCCTGGGACTCCTGGACTCAAGCAATGCTCCCATCTCAACCTTTCAGGCACTACAGGCACACACCACCATGCCCAACTAATTTTTTTATATAGAGACAGGGTCTCCCTGTGTTACCCAGGCTGGTCTTGAACTCCTGGGCTCAAGCCATCTTCCCACTCAGTCTCCCAAAGTGCTAGGATTATAGGCATGAGCCACCGTGCCTGGCCAGGTTCATCATTTCAATAGTTCTTTTACCAATATCCTAAACTCTTTGCCTCTTGGTCTTTTTTGTCACAAGAATCAAACAGCCCTTCCCCGCCCAGGGGGAAAAAATTATTTGCTTTTTCTCTGCCTTCTTCTAAGTAGCAGAGAAAATTCATACCAATGTGCCAGGCATATTGGCTATACTGTAGATTTATGAAACATTTTCTGATGATCAACATTACTGAGTATTCCTACTGTTTATCTCGTAAATTCACTGTCTTTCCTTAGAAATAATTATTTCAAACATCCTCCCCAAATATCTGATTTCCCTACTTCCCTTTCCTCATCAGATACTTTCACTGCTCATTTTTCTCAAACCTACATCAATGGGAATAAATATCCAAAATGGGAGGAAAAGTTGTAGTTAGAATACATTAATAAACTTATATAAAAATTTAAAATATGTAAAACAATATTATGGCTAATGGATACATCTGTGGGTAACAAAAGTATAGCAGAAATGGTAATGACAAACATCAAACTCGGAATAGTGACTACCTCTGGGGAGAGAAGAAGGTGAATAGGCTCTAGGAGGGCTACATACAGGGCTGCCACAAATAGTTGCACAACTCCAGATAGCACCATTTATTTTATATAGTATGCAGCAACTTTGACACACAGAGATTTTCAATTATATTTGTACAATATATGTTCTTTACTATGCTAAAAATATTTTTAAATAAAACAATTTAATACACAACAAGGAGGATGCAGTGTCAATGAGTATAAGCCATTCTTTTCAAGTAGTTTAGCCATGAAGGGTAAGAGCTATGACATTAACTTGAATAGACAGAACTATGAGACTTTTTTAGCGGGAGATTAGACTTAGAGCAATGATCTAGTAGGAAGAAAAAGTTTAAAATATGAATGAAATAGAAGAAACCATTTATGGATTTAGTTTTTAAAAGTAACTCCTCTTTTGATATTCTTGATCCAAAATTCTGTTGCCATGAGATCCTGCTCCACCATTTATCTCAACTCTATATATCTTCATGCTTGTTTCCTTTGAGATAAAACTTAAATATATAAGTTAAGTGAAATAAGAGATGCTTGGAGGTGGATGAAGGAAAAAATGAAGGCATTCAGATGGCCCCTATTTTGTCAATAAAATATTAGGAGATTAGATAGAATAAATGAGCAGGATTGGAAGAGTGAGCTTTGTGAAGAGAGGGAGAGATTGGGAGAAAATTGTTGACCAATGATAAATAAAAGGATTGCTCAAAGTTATAAAGCCTGAATGAAATAATATGCCTGGAAACACTTAAACTATATGAGCCCATATCTAGAGGAGCAAATCAGTTCCTCATAGTATAAGTTATGGGCTTTCTCATCTAAAAAGGAACAAAGATTGTTAAGGAATAAGCCCACCAGGGGCTTAGATAAAGGTAAAAACAAACCTTAAGGGAAAAGATGTCAATTGAGAGAAATTTTGTAGGAAAATGACACTAACAGAGAAAGAACTTAGTGTTGTCTGTTACTAATGAATATCAATATATTTTACCCTAGAAATAGGATATGATTCCTAAATATGTAATTGGGTGTGAATGGGAAATTGAAAATAAATTTGAATAATTGATAGGTTTAGTGGACATGTTTTAGGATTTTAGAAGGGGATACCTGGAAAATTTAACACAGATTTTTTAATGTTAATTATTTGACTTATTTTGTTTTATTTTATTTTATTTTAAGACAGGGTCTCACTCTGTCACCCAGGCTGGAGTGCAGTGGCTTTATCATGGCTCACTGCAGCATCATCCTCCTGTGCTCAAGCAATCCTCCCACCTCAGCCCCACAAGCAGCTGGGACTACAGGTGTATGCCACCATGGCTGACTAATTTTTATATTTTTTGCAGAGACAGGGTTTCACCTTGTTTCCCAGGCTGGTCTTGGCCTCCCGAGCTCAAGCGATCTGCCTGCCTCAGTCTCCCAAAGTGCTAGGAATACAGGCATGAGCCACCACACCCAGCCAACAATGATACTTTTTAAATAACATTTAGAAATGTAAATTCATGGGAATAAGTATAATAGAGGATTTGCTTGACTTCTACACAGAAGGCTATAACACTGTTGAGAGAACTTAAAAGAGGCAGGGGTAGGGGTATGGAAAAAAAATTAAAGAAGATCTATGAAATAGCGGAGCAGGGGGAAGATATGCCATGTTCATGGATTGGAAAAGTCTGTATTAAAAAGAAGGCAATTCTCCACAAACTAATCCGTAAATGTAGTATAATCTCTATCAAAGTTCCAATAGGATTTTTGTGAAAATTGAGAAACTGAGTCTAATATTTATATGGAAATGCAAAGGCAAAGAACAAATGCAATAATCTTGAAGGACAAAGTTATAAAACTACTAGATATTATTAAAGCTAAAGTAATTATTACAATATGGCATTTTTACAGGATATTTAGACCAATTAAATAGAGAGTCCAGAAACAGACCTACATATTTAAACACTTGATTTTTGGCAAAGGTGGCACTGTATAGCAGGGACAAAGAGTTCATCTTATAATTCATCAATAGGATATATAGAATTAGTAAAAATGATCCTTATCTTACCACATACACAAATATTAATTCCAGATGAACTGCAGGTCTAAATGTGGAAAGTAAATTTTGGAAGCTAATATAGGTAATACATTTATAATTTAGGATGGACAGCAATTTCTTACACAATACTTTAAAAGAACAAACCACTAAGGAGAAGATTGATCAATTGTAGATTAAAATTAGAGACTATTTTCATCCAAAAAACCATTACCAGATTGAAAAGGCAAATCACAGAGTGGGAGAATATTTGCAATGCATATTACTGACAAAGGGCTTATATCCAGAAGATATAAAGAACCCAAAATGTTCTTCAATAGTGTAATATATAGAGTTGAATTCCATTGTTCATTTAATGAAATACTATAATATAAATGAGCTATTGCTGAAAAGCAGCAGTGTGGGTATACCTCACACCATAATATTGTGCAAAAGAAACATATTGCACAATAAAAATGCATTTTCTGCTCCATTTATATCAAGAACAGGTGAAACTATGGCAGGTGGGTATATGGAAACAGGTAATGAGGGGAGCATTTTTGGTGCTAGTAATATTCAGTTTCTTGACATGAGTGGCTGTGAAATCTGGGTTTGGGTATATAATCTGTTTATTCTCAATTCATGCACTTTTCTATACATAGATTCTACTTCCTTTTTTTTTTTAAGCCAAATGATGTTGACACATTATTTAAATCTGATTTCAAAAAGAATATTTTTTTCTTTTCCAATAATTATTAAGAATATCTTCACAGAATCAAAAATTTGATTACTAGAAAGGACCAATGTGACAATTTCTTTTAAACTGTCCCATTTTATAAATGAGGAAATATCCTAGGCAAAAATTAGGTAACATTTATTATGTTCCAATCACTATTTAAGCACTTTAAATATTGAAACAAAGTTAATTCTCACAATAAATCTGTGAGGTAAATAATATTCTTACGCCCATTTTATAGATGAGGAAACTGGGTCACAGAGGATAATTGACTGTATAAATTGCATAGCTAGTGTAAGTGGCATACTCAAAATTAAGGCATTATGATTCTATGTTCTTAACTATTGAGCTACTTTGTTTCTTCATTTTATTTTTTTTCTGAGACAAGGGTCTCACTCTGTCACCCGGGCTGGAGTGTGATGGCACAATCTTGGTGCAACAGCCTCCCAGGCTCAAGCGATCCTCCCATCTCAGCCCCCTCAGTAGCTGAGACCACAGGTGCGCACCACCATGCCTGGCTAATTTTTTGTATTTTTGGTAGAGATGAAGTCTCACCATGTTGCCCAGGCTGGTCTCAAACTCCTGAGCTCAGGCTCAGGTGCTCCGCCTCCCTAGGCCTCCCAAGTACTGGGATTGTAGGCGTGAGCCACCGTGCCCAGCCTTACTTTGTTTTTTTAAAACTCTGAATAACAACAGATTTTTCATAATACACATGAAAAAAAAAATAGTACATTGATCTATACAGTTTGTGGATGGCACAGAGTATCAAAGGAAGTTACTAATGAAATCGAGGCTGGAAGCAAGCTTCAGAATCATCCTGGCTAACTGAACTGGCAAATCAAAACCAGTTAAGTTCAGTTTAGCAGAGATAGCTATAAAGTCATACATTTATTTGCATTCAGTTTACTGTTTAAGGTTTGGGCGGGGGGAGGTGTTGCGTTGTTTTTGTTTGTTTGTTTTTTTAGGTGGGGACTCACTGCGTTGCCCAGGCTGAACTTGAATTCCTGGGCTGAGAGCTCCTCCTGCCTCAGCCTCCCAAGAAGCTGCGGTTACAGTTGTGAGCCATGGTGCCTGGCATACTTTTTAAAGTTTTAATTGTGAAATATATCTGACATAGAAAAGAATGTATGTGACATATAAGAACAAGTTAAGACTGATAATAAGAGAACCCTGTACCCACTGCTCACTTTTAGAAATAGAAAATCACCAATAGCGGCCAGGTGCCGTGGCTCACGCCTGTAATTCCAGCACTTTGGGATGCCAAAGCAAGCGGATCACTTGAGCCCAGGAGTTTGAGACCAGCCTGGCCAACATGGTGAAACCCCGTCTCTACTAAAAATTTAAAAATTAGCTGGGCGTGGTGGTGGGCGCCTGTAATCCCAGCTACTTGGGAGGCTGAGGCAGGAGAATCGCTTCAATCACAAGGCGGAGGTTGCAGTGAGCCAAGAACATGCCACTGCACTCCAGCCTGGGCAATAGAGCAAGACCCAGTCTCCAAAAAAAATGAAATAAAATAAGAAAGAAAAGAAAAATTGCCGGGCGTGGTGGGTCACGCCTGTAATCCCAGCACTTTGAGGGCCGAGGCGGGCGGATCACGAGGTCAGGAGATCGAGACCATCCTGGCTAACACTGTGAAACTCTGTCTCTATTAAAAATACAAAAAATTAGCCGGGCGTGGTAGAGGGCGCCTGTAGTCCCAGCTACTCGAGAGGTTGAGGCAGGAGAATGGTGTGATCCTGGGAGGCGGAGCTTGTAGTGAGCCGAGATCGCGCCACTGCACTGCAGCCTGGGGGACAGAGCGAGACTCCGTCTCAAAAAAAACAATACCTACAGAGCCCCATATGCTTCTTCCCAATTGCATCCCCTTCCTCCGTTACAGACATGAACACCATGAAGAATTTCATGTTAAGCCCAGCGTGGTGGCTCACACCTGTAATGCCAGCACTTTGGGAGGCTGAGGCAGGCGGATCACAAGGTCAGGAGTTCGAGACCAGCCTGGCCAACATAGTGAAACCCTGTCTCTACTAAAAATACAAAAATTAGCCGGGTGTGCTGGCGCGCACCTGTAGTCCCAGCTACTCTGGAAGCTGAGGAGGGAGAATCACCTGAACCTGGGAAGTGGAGGTTATAGTGAGCCGAGATTGCGCCATTGCACTCCAGCCTGGGCGACAGAGTGAGACTCCATCTAAAAAAAAAGAATTTCATGTTAATTATTCCATGATTTTCTTTATAATTTTGCCACGTATGAATGTATTGCAAACGATATGTCATTTTGTCCACTTATGAAACTTCTATAAATGGAATTATTTTATCTGTGTTCTTCTGGGATTTGCCTTTTCCAATCAACTTTGTTTTTTAGATTGATTAGGTTGGCTGTACTTCATATTCATTGCTGCAATCACATTCAATTATATGAATGTTCAAACAATGTTTTCATTCTCCTATCACTGGACATTTGGGTTGCTTCTAGTTTCCTCCTTTTATGAATAATTCTTCCAAGAACAGCTTTGGACATCTACTGATGCACATGTTGCTGAGCCATATGGGATGTGTATTTTCAACTTTACTAGGTAATCCAAAATGTTTTCCAGAGTAATATATGAAATTTCCCTTTACTACATCTTCACTAAAAGTCTGATAAACTTTTTAATGTTTTTCAGTCATACAGTATAAAATGGTTTCTAATTATGTGGTACATATACACCATGGAATACTATGCAGCCATAAAAAGGAACGAGATCATGTCCTTTGCAAGGACATGGATGAAGCTTGAAGCCATTATCCTCAGCAAACTAACACAGGAACAGAAAATCAAACACCGCATGTTCTCACTTATAAATGGGAACTGAACAATGAGAACACGTGGACACAGGGAGGGGAATAACACACACTAGAGTCTTGGAGTGGGGAGGGGAGAGCATCAGGACAAATAGCTAATGCATCCGGGGCTTAATACCTAGGTGATGGGTTGATAGGTGCAGCAAACCACCATGGCACACATCTATCTGTGTAACAAACCTACACATCCTGTACATGTATCCTAAAACTTAAAATTTTTTTTAAAAAGCAATAAATTAGGTTTTAATAAAAAGGCATAGAAAAACTTTAGCCCTATTTGTCTGGAAACTGAATATAATAAAAATGCAAATGTATTCCTTGAAAAGTTTCTAATTATGATAACTTATATTGTCCTCATTACTAATTAGTTGAACATTTTATATGTTTATGCATCATTTGCATTCTCCTGTGAAATGTCTGCTCTTGTCATTGCCTATTTTTCTATTTTTTTAAATTTCTTATTGATGGAAGTTTTTTACATATTGTATATACAGATCCAATATAGATTATATGTGTTATAATTATTTTCTGCCAATTTGTGATTGGTATTTTTACTCTTTCTAATGACTAAAAGTTTTTCTCAATGTGGTCAGTTCCTTTATGGTTGCTGGTATGTATTTAGTCTTTTTTAAATCAGTTTTACACTTCTAAGAAGGCAGATACCTGTTTTGATAACTCTTCTTTGTTAAACACACACACACACACAAAGCAAAAAAGGTTTACCATAGCTGTTACAAGGTCACTATAATTTTGGACAATAATTTTAGGCAGTAACAAGCAGATCTTTAGAAGTACTGCTATACTCTGTGTCATTTTATAATATATATTTTAAGGAATTATAAACAAACTGGGATTCCCCGGGGCTATGAGAGGAGAGGTTCAGTCTAAAAGTCAGTTAAAGAAACACAAGCCTAAGAGATATGATAGCTATGTACAAATATTTGAAGGCTTATGACAAAGAAGAAGGAGTAAACAGAACTGAAATGAAAGGGTAAAAATTGCAGAGAGGTTTTCAGCTCAGCATAAGGAAGGATTTGAGCTATCCAGCAAAGGAAGAGGATGCCCCCATGAGGTAGTGGCTCCTAAGATTTTTTCCAAAACTATAATTTTGAGAATGTCTCCGGTATTTTTTCATGTGTTTATGATTAAGAATACTACAGATTTTTTTAAATATAATGCTTTATTGAAGATTAGTAGCTTTATTTTGAGTTTGGTAGTGAAACTATCCTATCTAGAATTTTCATATGAAACTAGGAATTTGGCCAGAGATACCAGTGCAAGCTACATTATTTTTGCAAAAATAGCAAGGTTCTCAGCTTTTGTATTAATTGTTAGGTAATATTTAAGCACATGTATGTGAATAGAAAAATACATAAACAGTTTTAAGTATATACTGTGTCTTTAACTGCGATCAATAATCTACAATCCACAAAACTACAAAGAACAATAAAGCACAAAGATAAATAATGCAATCAAGAAGTACAAAAGTGACTTCAGAAAATTGATGAGCAAACTGAGGGATGAGATAAAACCCTGACACAGCAGTTAAGTGAACAAGGAAATTTTTATGCAAGGTGTTTAAAGCTTTTTAGATAAAGATGAGGACTTCTCAAGATTTAGAGGAAGAAAATTCCAAGAATAGAAAACAACATAGAAACTGTATTGCTGCCAAAATTATCTTGGTGGAAACTATAACATTTTGCATATATAGCATTTAGCATATTGATACAGGTGGAAATAAGCATAATACAGTGCTTTTTAAACTGTGGGACATGACTCGTTCGTCAATTGTGAAATCAACGACTGGTAACCAGTATTTTTTAAATGAAGTCTAATTTTAGAATTAGAATATTCTAGAATGGAAACTACCAGACGGTATCATACGTTGTGAGGATAAATATATTTTATAAAACTACATATGTCTCCAAGGTCACAATGCAAAATATATTTATTTCTGTGAGACACAATCAATCAGAATGAAAATTACTAGCATATGTGTAAGAGCTAGAAGTTTAGATTTTAGAGCCCAACTAATTGGAGCTGAATCCCAGCTTTGCCCCTTACTGGCTCTGTGACCTTGGGCAAGTTACTTATCCTCCCTCCTGCCTTAATTTCTTTTTTGTTGTTGTTTCTTTTCTTAACTTTTATTTTCGGTTCAGAAGTATATGTGCATGTTTGTTATATAGGTAAATTGCATGTCACTAGGTTTTGGTGTACAGATTATTTTGTCTCCCAGGAAGTAAGCATAGTACCTGGTAGGTAGTTTTCCAGTCCTCACTGTCCTCCCACCCTGCACCCTGAAATAGGCCCCAGTGTCTGTTGTTCCCTTCTTTATGACCATATGTACTCAAAGTTTAGCTCCCACTTATAAGTGAGAACATGCAGTATTTGGTTTCCTTATGTTCTTGTGTTAGTCTGCTTAGAATAATGGCCTCCAGCTCCATTCATGTTGCTGCAAAGGACATGATCTTTTTTATGGCTGCATAGTACTCCATGTTGTATACGTACCACATTTTTATCCAATCTACCATTGATGGACATTTAGGTTGATTCCATGTCTTTGCTGTTGTGAGTAGTACTGCAATAAGCATACACATGCACGTGTCTTTATGGTAAAACAATTTACATTTCTTCAGGTATATGCCCAATAATGGGATTTCTGGGTTGATGGGTACTTCTGTTTTAAGTTCTTTGAGAAATCGCCAAACTGCTTTCTACAATGGCTGAACTAATTTAGATTCCCACCAGCAGCATTTAAGTATTCCCTTTTCTTTACAACCTCACCAGCATGTTAATTTTTGGCTTTTTAGTAATAGCCATTCGGGCTGGTGTGAAATGGTATCTCATTGTGGTTTTGATTTGCACTTGTCTAATGATTAGTGATGTTGAGTATTTTTTCATCTTAATTTCTTTATATGTAAAAATAGTGATGATAATAGTGCCTATGGCCCTTAGAACAATACCTGCCAAATTATAAATGCTAATTAAATATTAGCTGGTATTATGTTATTATTTCATACTCTCAAATGTCAGGTATGCAGTTACTGGCTAGCTTTCTTGAAAGGTAAAGGCTTTTTTGTAAGGTTCTTATCATAAAGCGCATGCACACATTTCCATTATTTCTCAAGACATTTAAGTGCTTATACACATATGCATATCGATGCCCCAGACCAATTGAATTTTCACCCTTGGTCCCAAGAAACTTAAATATGCATCATCATTACTTTACATCTTTGTACATAATGTTCTTTCTGACTCAAAGTGCCCTTTTATTTGGTAACCTACTACTACCTTTTTTGTTTTTTAAGCAGGCTCAGAAGGTTAACTACTCTTTTAAGACCAAGGTCAGACAAACTTTGTGAAACTTTTCTTGATTCTTGCAAAGTCACTGTACCCTCTGTGCTTTCACTTAATTCCACTTATAGCTATACATACAAGTTAAGCATTTTACTATAATAATTCATTTATATTCATTCTTCTAGACAAATGGATTCCAAGACTTTTTATTGTACTACTATTAATAAAAATTTTGAACACATACATGGCATACACATGTATTACTGTACTAATATATACATTAAGAACCTTAATCGGAAATTTTTTAAAGATAAGCTAAAGTAAAATTTTAAATTTGTATATCACTAGCTAATATCTCACAGCACAATATACATTTAGTGTAAAAGTTATAGTTATAATTTTTTGATAATTTTTGAATTTGTGATACCAAGTTTGTTACAGGTATAATTATGTCATTGTCATTATGTGGCAAAGAGTTTGTAATTGAGAAAAAGAAATGGGTTGGCCTTGCTGTTGTTTACCTATCCTTGCATTATTAGTATTATTTTGATCTGTGATTTTGCAAGAATATGTTTTTAAGTAGTCATTAAAAAGCAAAGAAAAGGCCGGGTGCAGTGGCTCACACCTGTAATCCCAGCACTTTGGGAGGACGAGGCGGGCAGATCACAAGGTCAAGAGATCGAAACCATCCTGGCCAACATGGTGAAACCCCGTCTCTACTAAAAATACAAAAATTAGCTTGGCATGGTGGCATGCACCTGTAGCCCTAGCTACTCAGGAGGCTGAGGCAGGAGAATCACCTGATCCCGGGAGGCAGAGGTTGCAGTGAGCCGAGATCGCACCACTGCACTCCAGCCTGGGTGACAGAGCAAGACTCTGTCTCAAAAAAAAAAAAAAAAAAAAGAAAAGAAAAATAATATAATAAACATTCATGTAACTACAACTCACCTTAAATAATAAATATCAAAGATATAGTAGAAGCCCTACAAAAGTTATTTTAGCCACTTTGTTATTTTGTGAGAGCTTGTTAAGATACTATAAGATACGCATAAATTCACTTACCTGGGCACACATAAATTTTAGTACATTGCAGGAAGCTAACGAGAGCTAATGAATGATGACACCACTGTCAACCTCTCACGCTTGGAATTTTAACTCTTCTTTTAAGATAACTGAGTTTACTTCATGCATTACATGAGCATCTACTTGCAAAATAACCAGGGTGCCAGTGTCAATCATATATTACATGAGTAAAATTTAACTTCTAATTTTTAGATAATAAATATGAATTGGAATTCTAATATGTTCTTGAAGCACACCAGTGGATTATCTTACACAATCTTCTGGTGTTCTGTGTCATGCTCTGGAGGTTACTGCTCTAAACTATAAATCCCTCAGAAGCAAGGATTTTGTTGAATTCATCATTTTAACTGTGCCATGCTTAGAGCATATAAGAGGAGCTCAATAAAGCATGCTAACTGAATGAATTAAACTTACAGAGTTTTCTTGATATTTGAAAGTAACTTGAAAATTTGCAGTGGGTATATATTGGCTACTCAACTAGCATAATTTTTAACATTGTGCTGGCATTTGTTTAAGGGTCTACTGTTATGAGAAGAAAACGAATTGCTGAAACTAAGCGGAGAAATATTTTAGAGCAGAAAAGACAAAACCCTGGATCTGTAGGACAGAAGTACAGTGAGCAAATTAATGTAAGTATGGTATTAATCAAAATCTCTATTCAATATTTAAAAATTGCTTGGAAAACAGAGGTTCTTAAAGGACTATGCTCTTGCTGTAAACTGTATACCACAACATAAATATAATTATAGCCAAAGCCATTTGTGAAGCAGTCTTGGAATCTTTATGCTAGGAGATTATTCCACTATACCTACTTGCTATGTTCTGTATAATCAGTTACTAATGAAAGTTTTAAACCAACTTTAAATCATTATTATTATTTTAGTTGTTATTATTGATAGCCAATGCTGGAAAAAATGAGGTCATTCACAACAAAATTCAACAAAGCTACTTAAATATACACTTTAAAAAGAAAGTAAAGTAAATTAGAGACCTGGATAGAAGAAACAAGTATGCTAGGCCAGGCGCGGTGGCTCACACCTGTAATCCTGGCACTTTGGGAGGCCAAGGTGGGTGGATCACCTGAGGTCAGGAGTTCAAGACCAGCCTGACCAACATGGTGAAACCCCCGTCTCTACTAAAAATACAAAAAAATTAGCCAGGGGTGGTGGCAGGTGCCTGTAATCCCAGCTACTCAGGAGGCTGAGGCAGGAGAATTGCTTGAACCTGGGAGGCGGAGGTTACAGTGAGCTGAGGTCGCATCATTGCACTCCAGCCTGGGCAACAAGAGCAAGACTCCATCTCAAAAAGAAAAAAAAAAGCATGCTAATCATAAAGACAACTATAGTTTCATGTGACTGAATATCCTATTTGTGTCTGAGCTTCCTGGAAGACATGGCAAAAAGGAAAATTAGATGAGTTATATAATTCTCAAGGGAAATTGATAATGATGTTGTTTTGGGGATACAGTTTTAAAAAACATTTCCTATTGAGGACCTTTCATAGGGAACTTTGAAATACATAAAGAATATGCTCCTAATAACGGTTCCACAACAAATGAATAAAGAGTTTAATATGGCTGTTCAAGATAGAGGTCTTCAATAAAAGTAAAAAGCATAATAACAATTTTAAAATAATGGCCAGGCGTGGTGGCTCATGCCTGTAGTCCCAGCAGTTTGGGAGGCCAAGGCAGGAGGATTACTTGAGCTCAGGAGTTCAAGACCAGCATGGGCAACATAGCAAGACCTCGTCTCTGCAAAAATAAAAATAAAAAAGCCAGGCACTGGAGTCCCAGCTACTTGGGAGGCTGAGGTTCCGGGAGGATGCATGAGCCCAGGAGTTTGAGGCTGCAGTAAGCTATGACTGTGCCACTGTACTCCAGCCCAGGTGACAGAGCAAGACCCTGTCTCTCAAAACAAATTAAATAAATAAAATTAAAATTAAAATAAATGGAGGTAATTCTGTAAGAGCTAAGTAAGTGAAATCAAATATGGCATTTTCTAGAGGTCTAACTTGATCCAAGGATTGACTTTAGAATATTAAAAGTCTAGATAGATAAGTAAATAGCATTTCACTTGGAATTTCCACTTTAAATATCACTCTGACTTTTTTTAATAAAACTGGAATATTTTTAATAAAATGCCTTATGAAGAATTTATATTCCAAGTTACTGGTTGAAGGTGCTATAATTTGTATATTATAGGAAGTACTGATTTTTATATGGATAAGATTACTAATGTGGAGAATAATCAACAATGATCTAATCTTATCAGCAAAACAAGTCATTTAGTTGTATGTTTATGGAAATAAAGTTAATCACATTACCCATATATTTTTATTGCTTAATAGCGTAATGGTTAATTATAGATATAACTTCCTGATTACAAATAAAACAATGCCTAACAAGTCCTTCCATTTCAACTGCCATGTTCCCATCCAACGTCTCAAAATGCACAATGCAAAAACATCTTTACCCTTATTTTTTCCTTATTTTCATTAATATATTATAAATTTAAAAGTAATATGTAGTTAATAACCAAGGAAACAAACAAACAAAATTTTAAATGCCTGTTATTAGTGCCCTCTGTAAATTCATTTTTATTTTACTAGGTCTTATTCTATTTTTCTGTCTCTTGCTCTTTTGCATGCTTAATGTATTTAGAGCCCATTTTTGTCCTTTTCAGAAGCCTCCCTTCCACTTTCACATACAGATCTTCACCCATCCACTTATACACCTTCCAAAGTCTTGTTAGCCTAAGAATAGGTCAGTGTTCCTGAATCAAATTTTTTCATCCTTATTATTTTGACTTGTTTTTGTTTTTTATTCCAGAGCCTAAGCAAGGGTTCAGTCACTAGAACAGTGGCCCTTGTCACCTTGTATTAGGAAATGCATGTTATCATACTGGATTTTCTCCAGCCCATGACATCTATATGGAGAAAATCTCAAAGAGATAAGTGAAAGGTAGAAAAAGTACAATTGCCACTTTGCACGAGGGTTTCAGTCCAAGGTATCTCAAGTCTATAATGGAGATCAAACAAGACTATGAGATCTACTGAAGGAGAGCTGTTGCAAAAATCTGCAGTTTCTCCTCAGATCAGATTGAAGAAAAGTTACGCATAGTTATAGCCAGGCAGTTTTATCTGACAGAAAACAATTATTTCTTAAAGTGAAACAGAATGGTAATAAAGAAGGAGGTAGACCATATTCAGGGAAGGGAAGTTGGTATCTCTCAGAAAGTGTTAGATGTGTACACTTTTTGCCAGTGTTCTGAGACTTCCGTTTTCAAGGTTCTGTGCAGCATTGGGGCAGCTATTTGTGTTTTAAGTTTTGTCACGTAAGATAATTACCTATCCTTGGCATTAGCTGTAGTCAGATGCTTTTAGCTAATAGTTATGATTCACCCTTACAATGACAAACCAACTAGGTTAGAAACTTTAAGGTAATTTTTTACCTTTTCTTTAATTAGCACTTTTTTTTATTTTTGAGACAGAGTCTCGCTCTGTCACCCAGGCTGGAGTGCAGTGGCACAGTCTCAGCTCACTGCAACCTCCATCTCCTGGGTTCAAGTGATTCTTCTGCCTCAGTCTCCCAAGTAGCTGGAACCACAGGCACGTGCCACAACTCCTGGCTAATTTTTTATATTTTTAGTAGAGACAGGGCTTCACCGTGTTAGCCAGGATGGTCTCGATCTCCTGACCTTGTCATCTGCCCACCTCGGCCTCCCAAAGTGTTGGGATTACAAGCATGAGCCACCGTGTCAGCCTAATTAGCACTTTTGATTACCATCCAACTCACTTTACCTCTTCCAAATATCCAGGACAATATCATAATCTGAAAATTTTTTTGTGGACATAAAACATTTTTCATAATATTCCATTACCATAGAAATTCTTTATTATAATAATTCTTGTATTCAGCTCTAAAAAATGTAATATACAAGTTACATGAACAATTGTAGCTAAAAATATATACAGCAATTAAAAGTTTTTTAAAAGTTCATGTACATATTATGAATTTTAAATATGGAAATATGTTTTAATTCAATATTCTATTTTTGTAGAATTTTGGACAAAGTGTCCTGCTAAGTTCAAGTGAGCCAAAACAAACTACAAGGGGTACTTCTTATATTGAAGAAGGTATGTTTTAGTTTAAACATTTTTCTCTGATCTTTGTTCCCAGTGATTTTTTTTCTTGTATGCCTATTCTCAGATGCTAACGTATTATGTAATTGTTAAAGCACCATTTAAAACCTGAACTCTCCTCACCCCTGCACATCCAGGTCATTGTCAGTGTTCCTTTATTCTAAATAATAATGTATTGAACATCTTTCTACATCAAGTTATTTTCTGATTTTTACTTATTTCTGTAGGTTAGATTTCCAGAATTAAAATTACAGTAACTGACATGTAAATGCCACCCAGTAAATATTTATTGAATTAAACTCCATGTATTAAATGAATACTGGATCAAAAGAAATAAGCATTGATATGGCTGTTCATATATATTGCTAAAGTATTTTCCGGAAAAGTATTATTCAAAATTGTTCTAGTAGTGTGTGTCCAGTGGTGTATGTCAACTTGAGGTAGAATCTTTTCATATTTGCTATAGACAGAAAAATAGTATTATATTAGTTTTGATTTCTATACCTTTCATTAATATTATGCTTAATTGCTTTTCTGTGTATTTTTTGGTGAACTGTCTCTTTGTACTCTTTTTTCTTAGATATTAGAGTTCGAAATTTTCTTACTGATGTCTGCAAATTATTTAGCTATGAAGGATTCTAATTCTTATATTAGTTGAAGATGTTTCATTACTACTTGCATGTTATTCTACTTATATTGTATTTTCACATATATTTTAATTTGTATCTGTTCATTCAGTAAATGATTATTGAGAGCTAATCTTCTGCTTACAAGTAGGTATTGGATATACATGTAGAATATCCCTAATCCAAATATTTCAAAATCAAAAATGCTCCAAAATCCAAAATTTTTTGACCCCTGACATGATACCACAAATGGAAAATTTTACACCTGACTTCATATGATGGGTCACAGCTAAAACACAAGCTCATACCATACAGTTTATTTAGCATCCCCAAGGGGAAAAAAGATCCTCTCAGCCCTCTTCAGCTGCACTATATCTTTCCCATGCACACCCAGATTCCCCCATGTAAGCATGCTCACAAGGAGTAATAAAATGATACATGTACCAATGGCAGATTCCCCACGAGACCCCACATGGGGCCAAGACCTACATGCATTACTCACTGTATTTTTTTGCTTTTTCTCTGCTTTGTGATGTAAAGATATTGTTGAAAATATCAAAAAGACCTGAAGATACCCCTGTGGGTAGCAGTGATAAGAAAAAGAGGAAACATTTCTGTTTATCAATAGCCCAGAAAGTCAAACTTGGAGAAACTACACCAGCAACCTAAGTGTAAAATGTCTTATAGAAAAGGATGGTGTTGGAATGACCACAATATATGACCTGAAGAAACAGAAGGATAAACTGTTGAAGTTCTGCTTTGGAAGAGATGAACAGAAGTTAATGCAAAACATTAAACACTGCATAGGATTTCAACCATGAAGTCAAAGAGTGGATCCATCAGCGTCGCATGAGCACATGCCACTTAATGGTATGCTGATCATGAAACAAGCAAAGATCTATCATGATGAACTGAAAATTGAAGAGAACCATGAATATTCAACAGGCTGGTTATAGAAATTTAAGACACAGCATTATTTTTAAAGATTTGTGGTGATCAAGCGTCTGCTGATTACAAAGCAGCAGAGAAATTCATTGAAGAGTTTGCCAAGGTCATCGCTGATGAATATCTGACACCAGAAGAAGTATATGTTACTGATGAACATCACTGGTTTGGTGTTGTTACTCAAAAAAACATTGACTATAGCTGATGAGACAGCCCCTACAAGAATTAAGAATAACAGAATAACTGCTAGGATGTGCTAATGACTCAGTCACGCCCAAGTGTAAATTTGCTATGATAGGCAAAAGCTTGTGTCCTCACTGATTTCAAGGAGTGAATTTCTTACCAGTCCATTAATGTGCTAACAAAAGGACATGGATCACCAGGGACATCTTTTCTGATTGGTTTCACAAACACTTTATATCAGGGAAGCTGGATTGAATGATGACTGCAAGATTTTGTTATTCTTTGACAACTGTTCTTTTCATCCTCCAGCTGAAATTCTCATCAAAAATAATCTTTATGCCACGTGCTTTCCCCCAAATATTACTTCATTAATTCAGCTGTGTGACCAGACTATCGTTAGGTAGATGAAGAGTAAATACATATAAACACTTTCTTGAACAGCATGCCAGCAACAGTGAACAGAGATGTGGATGTAGAAGGTTTTCAAAACGAGTTTAGCATGAAAGATGCCATACATGCTGTTGCAAACACTTGGAACACAGGGACTAAAGACACAATTGTGCATTCCTGGCACAACCTCTGGCCTGCAACTATGTTCAGTGATGATGAACAAGGTAGTGACTGAAGGATTCTGTATGTCAAGTGAGAAAAAATTATGTCTGACCTCATTACGTAAGCAAAAAAATATACCTTCAGAGTCTATCAGTAAGCTGGAAGAAGTGGATATCAAAGAGGTTATTAACATCGATAATAAGACTCCAGGTGTTTTCATTGACCAATGATGAAATAGCCAAAAGAGCTCTGAATTAAGATGATTGTGATAATAGTGATGATAATGGCATTGTTAACACTGAAAAAGAAAAAGGTGCCAATTGACAATATGATGAAAATGTGTGATGGGTTTATTGAACGACTAGAGCAGTGTACACTCATAACAACAAGAAATTATGTCAGTTTATAAAATCAAAGAGAGGCTTATAGGACAAAAAAAGACATTGTAAATGAGGCAAAAGTCTCTGGAAGAAACATTTTTTAAGGTCATCTAGCAGAATATTTCCTCATCCCTAGAGGACCCACTTCCTTGTGCCTCAGCTGCTTCTGATGTTTCTTCTCACCTAAAAAAATAAAATACAGTGTACAGTAACCATCTGGTCAAAATGTAACATAATACCTAAGATTGGAAGCCTGCCATTGTTCCTTGTTGCTGTTGTTGAACAGCCGACACAGGTATTCTGGTGATGTTACTGTGGTGCTTAGTTGCCCTGAACACATTATTTTCTGACAGTGTGAAGGATACATCTTATTTTTTACTGTTAAGTACTTACGTGTGAATAGGTGTAAGAACATTATTGCTTTTCAGTAGATATAAATTTGGAGTCAGGAATAACAGTGATACCAAACAACCACAGATAATCCACATAGGTTGCTGATACAGTGATATCTTTGCTTTCTGATGGTTCAATATACACCAACTTCATTTCATGGACAAAATTATTTAAAATATTATATAAAATTACCTTCAGGTATGTGTATAAGGTATATATGAAACATAAATGAGTTTCTTTTTTTTTTTTTTTAAGCAGAGTCTCACTCTGTCACCTAGGCTGAAGTGCAATGGTGCAATCTTGGTTCATTGCAACCTCCGCCTCTCAAGTTCAAGCAATTCTCCTGCATCAGCCTCCCAAGTAGCTGGGATGACAGGCGTATGCCACCATACCTGGGTAATTTTTGTATTTTTAGTTGAGATGAGGCTTCACCATGTTGGCCAGGCTGGTCTTGAACTCCTGACCTCAGGTGATCCACCCACTTCGGCCTCCCAAAATGCTGGGATTACAGGCATGAGCCACCGCATCCAGCTGAGTTTCATGTTTAAACCTAGGTCTCATCACCAACATATCTCATGTGTATGCAAATATCCAAAATTCTAAAAAAGTCCAAAACCTGAAACATATCTAGTCCCAAGCATTTTGGACAAGGAATACTTAACATTTACAATAATGAAAAAAATATACAAAAGTGTTGCTCTTCAGAAGTGTAAAGTCTATTAGGGAAGACTGGCTTTAAATAAACATGTTTTATTTAGTCTTTTCTTACTGATGTCTCCATTACTTTTAAGCTTTGTCAAAGAACCTTCCCAATACAGACATTTAGAAACATTTGTTTCATTTTCTTCTGCTTTAATTAATGGGTTGATTCCTTAAGTTTGTCTTTAATTTCTTACGAATTTGTTTAAACAAACAGTGGGAAGTAAAACTCTGAATTGATTTCTTTTTTTTTTTTTTTTTTTTGAGACAGAGCTCCAGGCTGGAGCACAGTAGCACAATCTCAGCTCACTGCAACCTCCACCTCCTGGGTTCAAGTGATTCTCCTGCCTGAGCCTCCCAAGTAGCTGGGATTATAAGCACCCACAATAACACCTGGCTAATTTTTGTATTTTTAGTACAGACGAGGTTTCACCATGTTGGCCATGCTGGTCTTGAACTCCTGACCTCAAGTGATTCACCTGCCTCAGCCTTCCAAGGTGCTGGGATTAGAGGCATGAGCCACTGCACCCAGCCCAAATTGATTCTTTTATAAGCAAAAACTAATATGTAAAATCATCTTTCCCTTCTGTCAAATATTTGATGCTTCTTTGATCACATGTTCTTATATCTAATTGGGTCTGTTTCTAGGCTGTCAGTTCTGTTTAGCTGATCATCAAAGTTTCTAATCTTAAGGGTTTTTTGGTCTTACTTTGTTATAATTCATTATAACTACTATTATAAAGACAGTCTTCTTCATCTTTTTTGTACTACCAATGAATAACAAACATGACAAAAACTATCTGCATTATATAGTTTTTTTCTTTAGTTCAAGTAATACTCTGGGAATTTTTATTAACTCACTGCCGTCATTTTGAATATCCTTTTTTAAAAAACGAAGGATAGGAAAATGCTAGATAGAGGATCCTGATAAATGAAATCAAAGTAGCAGATATTTGCTAGGTTTCTGCTTGTAATATGAATACATACAGACAGTTAAGCATGTATAAGTATATGTAAGTATATATAAGGGCTGATCTCAAAGACAAAAGGGGTTCAAAGAATAACTGATGTAAGTTTCTGTAGTTTCAGATAGTACTTCTGAGTTTTTGATGGCTGAAAACTTAGTGAAAGCATCAGTGCCGGAGGATGAGATTCTGACTGTCTTGAATAGCAAACAGATACAGAAATCAAATCTACCTTTAAATAAAACTCAACAATTCAACATCTGCACACTGTCAGCTGAAGAACAGAAGATCCTAGAGTCCCTTAATGATCTCAGTGAAAGACTACATTGTAAGTATGGAAGAACACCTTTTATAAGAAATACTGCATTTATACTTAGACAATTTTAATTTAAACTTTAATTTAAAAATTGAAAAGAAAAATACAAAATATATCCATATTACCAACTACCTGAGTGCATAACCATTCAGACTATATTTGAATACTATTTCAAGTATGCCATATCATTTATGATGATGTCAACTTCTTTGGCAGACTTATCTGTCTTTTCAGAATATATGAATAGACTTCTGTTTCAGCAATGGACAGGCTACATATCTATACTGACCATCCATCAAAACAACCATAAATCCTTGATTAAGTATTTTTTAAACCTGCAATATAGTGATGAGCTAGTAAGAATGTAAGACATTCTTAAGACCAATAACTAAATGTAGATAAGAACTCAAAAAGATAAGGAGAGTGCAGCAGCTAGCTCTTGTCCTGAGGATATTTAACTCATGGGGTGAAATTGAACTTTGCTTTCCATGGCCTCATAGGAAAAAGGGAACAGGCCTACTCAGGATGAGTAGTCTCACAGAAGATCTTTCCACCATAAAGCTGGGCCACCCGAAGAGCTGTGCACTACACATGCATACACAGAGGAGGCAGCGCAGGGAGAGGGAATTTTTTTCTAAAAAAAAAAAAAAGGCTTGCATTTTTTAAACTTCAGTATTGAGCAGGTGATAGAGGAAAAATGATCCCTGAGAATGTAGAATCACAGTCTAATACAAGTATCACACTAATTTACAGCCCATACTCACATTAACTGAATAGTTCTTAAGATCTCAAGCAAAGAACTTAATTTAGAATGATCCCAAACTGGTAGTATTCCAAAACACTTGGGAAAAGTACATTTATGTATCTTCTGCACCTATATTCCAGTCCTCAAAGAATTATCACAAGTGAAATCCAAGGAAAATGAGCAGCCTACAATTAAAAAAAAAGTAAATAACTTAATCCGTAATGAAAAAAGGCACCAAGAAAAAAAATCAAAAGAATCCACAAAACAGAATAAACAGACCCAGAAAGGATTCAGATAATGAAATTACCAGGCACAAACTATAAATAACTATGCTTGTATGCTCTAAAGTTGTCAGAAATAAGCTTTAAAATGCAGAAATGCAGTCATTTTTAAACTTAAACATGCAGGGAATAAGAAACTATAAAGAAAGAGCAAACAGATTTGAAAAATGGCCCAAATAGAATGCCTGGAAATTGAAAATATAATAATTGAAATGTAAAATTTAGTAGGTGGTTTAACCACCAGATTACAGACGTCTGAACAGAGAATTAGTAAACTAGATTATGAATCAAAGAAATTTATCCACAGTATATCTTAGAGAGACAAAGAGATGGAAAATATGATATAGAGCTTAAAAGACACAAAAGAGTAAATAAAAAGGTCTGAAAGGCTAAGACAATATCTAAAGTGATAACGGTTGACAACTTTTCCAATTTGATGAACAATGCCAATCTACAGATTCAACAACCCAACACATTTCAGAGTAAATAAAAAGAAATGACCACTAAGATACATCCACAATGAATGTTAATCAGCAACAAAAAGGCAGAAAACAATGAAAAAAAATCAGGAGATATTGACAACATGTCCAATGTGCTGAGAGAAAGTAACTTTCAAATTTAATACCTTCTTAACATGAAAATGTCTCTCAAGAAGGGGGGTGAATTAAAAATATGTTCAGACAAAAACGAAGAGACTTTGTTAACAGCAAATATATGTATATGTATATATATATATATATGTCACTTTATGATGAGCACTTATGATGAGCAAAGTCTTACTTCAGAAGAAATACATAAGATTTTTATATGCACTTGAGAACATAGCCTCAAATATATAAAATATTTTTAACCACGGTGGGTGATTTTAACATACCATTGTCAGTAATTGATAGAATAGATTTTAAAAATCAAATAGATGTATAAAAATTGACTATGATTAACAAACCTGATCAAAGGGGCACGTTCTTTGTAAGTAAACGTACAACCTTTATAAAATGAACCATGTATAAGACCATGAAACAAGCCTTAACACATTTCAAAGGATCAGAGTCACACAGACCATATCCTCTAACCACAATGCAATTTACCTGAAATCTACTAACCAAAAGATAGCCATTAAGAAACACATTTCTAAATAAATCATGATTCTGAAGAAAAAAAATAATAGGAATTTCTAATTATTTATATATGAACAATAATAGAAATATTTTATGTATCTATCAGATTTTCTCTACCTTAACACCGTTGACATTTTGAGCTGGATAATTTTTATTGTGGGGGACTGTCTAGTGCATCGTAACATGTTTAGCAGCATCCCTGGCCTTTACCCACTAGATGCCACAGCACTTCCCTATCATGACAATGAAGTGCTCCCAGACATTACCAAATATCCCCCGGGTGGCAAAAATCACCTATGGTTCAGAACCACACACATATTATACGTATATATTTTGTGTGTGTGGATTCTATTTCCGCCTAAAATGTAGAAGGCCAGAATGCATCAATCCCATTCTAAGAACAATAAAAGATAAGTGACAAAAGTATAACTTTTCTTGAGCCAATTAGAGAGCTGAGGTCACATCACAACCAAGCAGCCTAGCATCCAAGGAAACACAGAAACAGGCCGGGCGCGGTGCCTCACGCCTGTAATCCCAGCACTTTGGGAGGCCGAGGCGGGCGGATCACGAGGCCAGGAGATTGAGACCATCCTGACTAACTCGGTGAAACCCCGTCTCTATTAAAAATACAAACAAATTAGCCGGGCGTGGTGGTGGGTGCCTGTAGCCCCAGCTACTAGGGAGGCTGAGGCAGGAGAATGGCATGAACCCGGGAGTCAGAGCTTGCAGTGAGCCGAGATCGCGCCACTGCACTCCAGCCTGGGCGACAGAGTGAGACTCCATCTCAAAAACAAAAAGGAAACACAGAAACATCTAAAGAGAGACAGGTTGTGAACACTTTCTCACCCATGGGAGAATATGAGAGAGGGAAATGTCAGGTTCCATACAAGCTGATATTAGAAATTGTTTAAATTTTCAACAGATTGCTAAAAGATGAATGTGGACTACTATGAGGATGTAGAACCACTGGGAGCCATAGGCACAAGGGAACCTCACACCTACTCAGATTCTTCTCCGTGGATCTACACTGAGTGTGTGTTCATGAGGCAAATAGGAGGCAGAGCAGGAGACAAGAGAAACCCTTCCTCAGTAGTGCAGGCCTGACAAAAGGCAGCAGCCACTGCTGTAGGAAAGGCATGAAGCGCCCCCCATACAGAACATTTCCCCCTGCAGAATAAAGGCCATCTGGGACAGAGGCAGCGTACCTTCTTGATTGCTCTCAAGGCACAGGTGAAGACTTACTGGGGCTAGTGAAACAGTAAAGGAAAAAAGCCTCTACCCCTGGAAGAGGAGCAAGACACATTCCCGGGCCAAAACCATTAGAGGTATCCTACTGTTGGTGGGAGGGTCTAAAATTCTCTTGTACAAAACCTGCCAAAGATAGAAGGCAAAGTTAACTGTCATGGGAAGGAGGAGCAGGAGAAAGAGAGGCCACACAGGGTCTGCTTAAGACTGAGCCTGGACCAGGACAACAGAAAAATTACCGTACTTCCCCACCACCAGATCAGCAAGTACCAAGTAACAAATAATAGAAATCTACTACTGAGAGACAGGCAAGAGCATAAAGAGAGATCCCTTCTACTGTGCGCACATGCAGGAAGGCCAAAACATGGGGGCAGAACAGGAACATTTCAGGGGGTGGGGGGACTCTCCAAGACCCCTGAATAAGTACAGAATAACACCAATGGAATTTGAAATTAGTAATGTTAGTAATTACTGTTGTCGGCTACAGCAACAACAAAACCCAAACCCACTCAGGGAGGCTGAGGCAGGCAGATCACTTGAGCCCAGGAGTTTGAGACCAGCTGGGCAACATGGTGAAACCCTGTCTCTACAAAAAATTCAAAAAAAAATTAGTCAGGCATGGTGGCACATACCTGTGGTCCCAGCTACTCCAGAGGCTGAGGTGGGAGGATAACCTGAGCCCAGGGAGGTCAAGGCTGCAATGAGCCATGATCATAACACTGCACTCCTCCTTGGGCAACGGAGGGAGACCCTGTCTCAAAATAAATAAATAAATAAACAAACAGCTCAAATTCCCTACTAAGTTTTTAAACATCTACACATACACACTACACACACCTACACACACATACACTCCAGTGACCTAGCAGAAGTGGATATACTCATTTCAAGACACAAATACTATCTACCTCAGTTTCTAGTATTCCAAAAATCATATCCAGCATTCGTCAAAAATTATGAGACATACAAAAAGAACAAGAGAAAAAAAACACTATCAAGGGACAAAGCAATCAATGAATAAGATGCAAAGATGACCAAGATGTTGGAACTATCAGACAGTAATTTAAATAACTATGACTAATATGTTAAAGGTTATGGTGGGAAAGATGAACAACATGAGAGAGATAGACAACATGCATGAACAGATGGAGAATTTCAGCAGAGAAATGAAAACTCTTAAGAGACAGATATGTGAGAAAGAAAAGTAACAGAAATGGAAAATGTTTTATATGTGTTCATCATTAGACTCAAGACACCACTGAGGAATCAGTGAATTTGAATATAGGTCAATAGAAATTTTCCAAACTGGAACAGTAAGAGAAAAAACAAAAAGAAAATTAACTACAGCTACACACATCATCATTGATGGATCTAAAAATACATAATTTGGGGCAAAAAACGTAAATCACAGGAGAATAAAGACAGTACAATTCTATTTATATGAAGTCTAAAAACAGATAAACCTAAACAATATTATTTTGCATCCTTGCAATTAATATGTGCTAAAATCACAAAGAAACAAAGCAGTGTAGTGGGTTAGTTACCTCTTTGGGTGAAGGAAGGAAATGAAATCCATAGGGCATTGTGGAGGCAAGAAGTGACAGGAAGCTTCCAAGGTAGTGATAATGTTCAAATTTCTTAATCTAGGTGGTTCCACAGACATTAGCTTTATAAGTATTCATT
Organism: Homo sapiens; assembly: GCF_000001405.40. Classification (NCBI taxonomy): domain Eukaryota; kingdom Metazoa; phylum Chordata; class Mammalia; order Primates; family Hominidae; genus Homo; species Homo sapiens. The sequence goes on from NC_000011.10 coordinate 101,992,102, forward strand.
AAAATATGCATATGTTTTATATACTCTGTATTTTAAAATTAAAACTATTTTTAAAAAAAAATAAAAAGCAGGGAGCTACAATCATGAACTAAGGCTATGAGTTTAAGATGTAAAATTATGCAGGTAAAGAATAAAAAAATTAAGTCAATAATTGAAGAATTTTTTAAATTTTTGTTTGATACTTCTACATATTTAAATGCTTCATGTAAAAGATTCTGCCTGAATTATTTTTCTTTTGCTCAGATGCTTGCTATTATATAGACAAAAATCTAAAAATTGAAAAGGCAACCAAGTGACTCAATTTTTTATGCCTCAATAACTAAATAAACATCTCTTTTTTTCTGAGAGGCTCCAAGGATGAAATTAATATTTTTTTATTAAAAAAAGAGAAAGAAAGAAAACGTAATATTTGAATGAAGATCGTTATATAATAGTCAAAGTACTAGGAATTATCTTTTATCAACATAAGCTTTATGTAATTATTTCTAATCAAATTACTTCCACTTTTGGACCTAATATAAGTATAAAGACTATTTCTGGGGGTGACTGGAAAAAAGTGTCTTACTCAATTTTGAATATTTTGATACATCAGAATTTAATATTTGATTCTTTAGTCATTCTTCTATTTCTATATATGTAACTAAATTATTTTGGTATTGTGATATAATTATTTCAGATATACAAGAATCCATTTGCAAAAACCCATCCATCAAAAATACTTTACAAATAATACCACTTCTGGTAAGTATTTGAAGAAGCTCTTTTTTTCTTGTTTTAGGAAACTTCTGATTTTATGTACACATCAATACAGGTAAGAACCCCGTATTAATATTAATATTTCTTGGGATTGGTTTATAGAGGTTTTCTCCTCAACTGGCTTTTTATTATAAGACTGTTCATTAGAATTATGCAAATATCCTGTCATTTAAAAAAATCCTTAAAGGTCAGAATATGAAGTTTTTTTAACGTTTAGGTTCAGGGGTACATGTGCAGGTTTGTTAAATAAGTAAATTGTGTATCGCAGGGGTTTGATGGACAGATTATTTCATTGCCCAGGTAATAAGCAGAGTACCTGATAGGTAGTTTTTCAATCCTCTCCTTCCTCCCACCCTCCATGGCCTCAAGTGGGCCCCAGTGTCTGTTGTTCCCGTCTTTGTGTTCATGTGTACTCAATGTTTAGCTCCCACTTCTAAGTGAGAACGTGTGGTATTTGGCTTCCTGTTCCTGTATTAGTTTACTTAGGATTGTGGCCTCCAGCTCTATCCATGTTGCTGCAAAGGACATGATCTTGGTCTTTTTTATGGCTGCATAGTATTCCATGGTGTATATGTACCACATTTTCTCTATCCAGTCTACCATTGATGGGCATTTAGGTTGATTCCGTGTCTTTGTGAATAGTGCTTACAATGAACATACCCCTGCATGTCTTTATGATAGAATGATTTGCATTCCTTCAGGGTATATACCCGATAATGGGATTGCTGGGTTGAATGGTACTTCTGTTTTAAGTTCTTTAAGAAATTGCCACACTGCTTTCCACAATGACTAAATTAATTTGCATTCCCACCAGCAGTGTATAAGCATTCCCTTTTCTCCACAGCCTCACCAGTATCTGCTATTTTTTGACTTTTTAATAATAGCCATTCTAACTGGTGTAAGATGTTATCTCATTGTGGTTTTGATTTGCATTTTTCAAATGATTAGTGATGTTGAGCTTTTTTTCATATGCTTCTTGGTCACATGTGTGTCTTCTTTTGAAAAATGTCTGTTCATGTTCTTTGCCCACTTTTTAATGGGGTTGTTTCTTGCTTGTTAATTCATTTTAGGTTCCTTATAGATTCTTGATATTAGGCCAGGCATGGTGGCTCATGCCTGTAATCCCAGGACTTTGGGAGGCCGAGGCTGGCTGGTCACCTGAGGTCAGTAGTTCGAGACCAGCCTGGCCAACATGGTGAAACCCTGTCTCTACTAAAAATACAAAAAACTAGCCAGGCGTGGTGGTGTGCACCTGTAGTCCCAACTACTCAGGAGGCTGAGGCAGGAGAATCGCTTGAAACTGAGAGGCAAAGGTTGCAGTGAGCCAAGATTGCACCATTGCACTCCAGCCTGGGCAACAAGAGTGAAACTCTATCTCAAAAAGATTTTTTAAAAAGATTCTGGATGTTAGAACTTTGTCAGATGCATAGTTTGCAAATATTGTCTCCCATTCTGTAGGTTGTCTGTCTACTCTGTTGATAGTTTACTTTGCTGTGCAGAAGCTCTTTAGTTTAGCTAGGTTCCATTTGTCAATGTTTGCTTTTGTTGCAATTGCTTTTGATGTCTTCATCATGAAATCTTTACCAAGGCCTATGTCCAGGATGGTGTTTCCTAGGTTATCCTCCAGGGTTTTTATAGTTTTAGGTTTCATTTAAGTCTTTAATCCATCTTGAGTTGATGTTTTTGTGTATGGTATAAGGAAGGGGTCCAGCTTCAATCTTCTGCACATGGCTATCCAGTTATCCCAGCACAATTAATTGAATGGGGAATCCGTTCCCCATTGCTTGTTTCTGTCAACCTTGTTGAAGATCAGATGGTTATAGGAGTACAACATTATTTCTGGGCTATCTACAGAATATAAACATTTTTATATTCAGAGTATTTTCATCAGTCATGGGAGCAGAAACAGGTATTAGTGTACCAATCTTCAAATAACTTTAGATGTGTATCCTAATTGAAAAACTGCTAAGAAGTGTACATCGGTAAGTATCCATATCTTTTCTGTGTCTTGAGAGTTTTTTTTTTTTTTAATTATACTTTAAGTTCTGGGATACATGTGCAGAACATGCAGGTTTGTTACATAGGTATACATGTCCCGTGGTGGTTTGCTGCACCCATCAACCCATCATCTACATTAGGTATTTCCCCTAATGCTATCTCTCCCCTAGCCCTCCACCCCCGACAGGCCCTGGCGTGTGATGTTCCCCTCCCTGTGTCCATGTGTTCTCATTGTTCAACTCCCACTTACGAGTGAGAACATGCAGTGTTAAAACTAGACATTACTGAATCTTTTTTTTTATTTTTTGCCTTGGCACTGGGTTCTGGTAAAAATGATCTGGAACAGCACTTTTCAAACTTTAGTGTACTTTGTACCACCTACAGATCTTGGTAAATACATTTTCTAATGTAGTAGGTCTGGGATGAGACTAGGTAATACCAATGCTGCTAACTAACTTTGAAACACAAGTTAGTTCTATGTGAAGCACTAACTTCACATAGAAACATGAACATGGATACACATTGGAATCACATGGAGAGCTTTAAAAAATACTGATGCCTGGGTCATACCTGAGGGCAGCTTGGGCATTTAGATATTTTTAAGCTCTCTGAAGAATTCAAATGGGAAGCGAAGGATGAGAAACACTGGTCTAGAAACAGTGATGACAAACAAGAAAGTCACCTACCCTTCCTGGTCCCCTGTCCTTTGTCCATCTGGGAGTTCGTGGGGAAGGGGATCAAAGTGTAGCCTGCACTGATGAGGAAAGCCAGTGAAGTAGTCAGTCCAAGTACCCTCTCCCATTGACAGTACTGGACATACACTGACAAATTCTTCTTTTGCTGGACTTCTCTTAGTCACCAATCTATCAATAAAACAGCAGTACTACATAAATGTTGAATTAACTATTATAGTCAAGAAAGAGATTTATGAAATACTTTCATGTCTCTGACAAATTTTGCTTTGCTTCTCATTTGCATTGTATAAGTGGTCTTCCATTTCTTCTTCCGTTTATTAAATATTAAGTACCGTCTATGTGCCAGAAACTTTGCTACATTCTAAAAATACATCATGAGCACAAAATAGCCAACTTTGCTAAGGCTAGGATTCACATTTCTCAGTTAGAAATTTTGGCCACAAAAGAAGAAGGCAGAAGTGGTCAGAAGCCATTATTGTTAGAAGATCATCATGGTTAGTCAGTGATGGACAAATACAAAGGTGCCCAGCAGCTCACTCCTCTCCACTCTATAGCATCTTCATGACTACAGGCCCTGCTGACCAACAGCAGCCCTAGGCCGACCACCAGGCACTGGGCTGCAGACCTGAAGACAGTAGCTTCAGAAAAGCAGAGTCGTTCCACATTCGGCAGTTTCCATAGATTTCCCCAGCAAGCTCCCCCTTCATAGTTCCACTTCAGCAGCTTGGGCATGCTTGGATTATCAGATTTCCCTGCAAGCTTCAATTTGTTTACCCACACCAGTGCTTCAAACAGCCTGCTCAGTCATCCTTTCTCTGATCCTGACTGGCACGCCACAGTAGAGCAGGCTACATTTTTATCCCTTGCCCCATATACTCTGATCCTTCAATTTTCCTTTTCCAGACCCTCATTTTCCCAGCTCCTATATTTGGTAAAATGTAATTCCTGTGATAAGTACCTTAGTCCCATAATTCTTATAATGGCTTTGTTTTCCTGATGGATACGGTCTGATAGAGGAAACATAAAAATAAGCGGTCTCTTATAAATCAGTGTAAAAAGCACTAACTTCACAGGCATATGAACATATGGGAAATGAACAACATTCTGAGTTCTGAAAAAAGCTTCAGAGTTAGCCAAATGAATATTATTTCAGAGACTGAAAAGGAGAAAGGAACTTCCAAGGACTAAATGAAACAGATTCAGGATGAAGAGGGAGAGAAAAAACTGGAGAGGGAAGCAGGGGCTAATGTTCCCATAGGTTTCCTTCTGGCGTGCCTAACTATGTGGGTTCCAGGCCCTTTCATCATTAGTTCCGTCGGACATTGTTTTCACAAGCTCACCCCCAAGAACTCCCATTTCTGCTATACAACACTATAGAGTTTTATTGGTACCCAGAATTTATCTAGAAGAAAATTTTAAATAAAGAGCTTTAAATGCAGGTTCAAATAAATTAGAATTTATCATTTCACTTTGAACCCTGAATTTTTATTTATTTATTTATTTTTGAGACGGAGTCTTGCTCTGTCACCCAGGCTGGAGTACAGTGGAGCAATCTCAGCTTACTGCAACCTCCGCCTCCCAGGTTCAAGGGATTCTCCTGCCTCAGCCTCCCGAGCAGCTGGGATTACAGGCACGTGCCAGCACACACAGCTAATTTTTGTATTTTCAGTAGAGACAGGGTTTTACCATGTTGGCCAGGCAGGTCTCGAACTCCCGACTTCGTGATCCGCCTGCCTCGGCCTCCCAAAGTGCTGGGATTACAGGCGTTAGCCACTGTGCCCAGCCTGAAACCTGAATTTTTAATGATATTGTAAAACTGCACATTTTCAAAGTGGGAATTTTACCTTTTAGAGTAGAAAGGTACTGATGAACATAATGTAAGGGTTGAGGTAAATAATCTATAAAGTCCTCTGCAATCTTAAACTCATTACCTGGGAGAATGATGTCAGGATGTGTTGAATATGCCACTATTTGACATGTCAGCCTAGTTTGTAGCTGCAGTGTTTTGGCATGTGTTTGCATGCTTGTTTCTTCTTTCTGATTTCCAGGAGAAGAGAGAAGATAGAACCAGCAGCTGCAGAGACAAGAGATAATTCCAGCAGAATCCGTCTAAGAAGACCTTTCATGTACTTCCCTAGGACTAGATGCATACCGTTTTGTGAAAACCAGCCATAGGAAAACATGTGAGCAACAACCCCCATGAACATTTGTCCTAACTCAGATTTTGTGAGCAGTGAAGTTTAACAGAGCAGTGACATTTAACAAAGCAGTGAAGTTTAACAGAGTTCTGAGAATACCATGAAAGACATTATGCCTGCCTAAACAAAAAGCAGGACATAACCTAGCTCTGAATACATGCCACAAGGATGAAGCTTGTGAGTAGAGCAAACAAACGTTTTTCCAAAGAATTCACAGTGCTCCTTTGCAATTTATAGATTTCATGTTGAAATATATGTTAAATAAAATTTCTGTTTATTGAACCTCTTTATTAAACCTCTAACTTACTGATAAGATGTTTATGAAGTATGGCATATTTTGATTTTTTTAATTGTAATAAATATTCTTAAAGTTACCACATCCCACAAAATGGCCCTTGGTGGCAGCAATAGAGCAAAGGTTACCTTTTTGTATGGTGAAGGGAGGCCTTCCTATGGCTGTACAATTACATCGATTCTTCCAAATTTCATATTTCATACATGGCACTTTGGCATACCGAAAAAACATGAAATTTTTCATTAAAATGCCATGAATCAAGCCAGGGCCGTTGGCTTATGCCTGTAATCCCAGCACTTTGCAGGCCGAGGTAGACAGATGGCTTGAGCTCAGGAGTTCGTGACCAGCCTGGGCAACCCTGTCTCTACAAAAAATACAAAAATTAACCAGGCATGGTGGCATGCACCTGTAGTCCCAGCTACTTGGGGTGCTGAGGCGGGAGGATTACTTGAGCCCAGGAGGATTACTTCAACCTGGGAGGTTGAGGCTGCAGTGAGCTGTGTTTCGCCACTGCACACCAGCCTGGGTGACAGTGTGAGACCCAGCCTCAAAAAAAAAAAAAAAAAAGTGATGAATCAAAATTAGAAATTAAGAGTTTTAAGAAAACATGTGGCCTTTTATTAATAACACTACTAAATTTTGGTTCCTCCATAGAATTAGTTTTGAAACACTTGATGTAGTGAGAAATGCATTAACATGTTGAATGCCTACCATGTACCAAATTTTGTGCATATATTTTTTATTTAATCTGACCAGCCACCCAAACCATGGGTATTTTTGTCTCCACTTTAGAGATGAGAAACTGAGCCAAGGCCACATAGCTACCTACAGTGACAGAATCAAAATTCAAACTCAGGTTTATCTAGTTCCAAAACCCATGTTCTTTCTGCCACACCATGTTAGTAGAAATGGAAACTATTGGATGAAATGAGGAAAAACAGGAAAAGAATTCACTTTTTAAATGAAGAAATTAGTGAAAAAATTGACCTAATGAAGGAAACATTTGTGCTTTCCTATATTTTTAATTTTAAGAATAGGATTTCGGAAGGCGACAGAAAATTTAGTTCTTAGACATTTAAATAGAAAGTTGTGTGCCCCTATAGAAAATATTTGAGAATTTCTTATACTATCAAGAAAAAATTCTGTGAATTAAGATGTAATTTATAAAATAACATTTCAATGGGGGTAAACAGGCCAGAAGAGTGTGCCAAGTTGTTTGTGAATCATTCCAAGCACCTCAGATGAAAACTCACTTTTATTAAAAAAAAAAAAGACAAGGGTTTATATTCATATACACTAGTATATATGTACACAGCAGCATCCTGCATGCCAAAGTAGCTTCACCGTTAGTAATCCCTCACTTTAATACCTCTTAGGAACCAAAGAATGCCTCTACAAGCAAAAAGATAGTTGAAAATAGTTAAGATCCAAAGTCAGAATAGGCCAAAAAAAAAAAAAAAAAAAGCCTAAATAGTAAGCTGGTGAAACAAGATAAGATTTGCATTTTACTAGAACTTGCACATTATGATATTGTCCTTTTATGAAACTGTCATATGACCAGAATTCTTCTGTAATTCTGCCCATGACTCCTCCAGAATTTTAGTAGATACAGGGTGGGTTCATTAAGAGTGATAAAAGTGGGAAGACATAAAGAGCCTTTGTGAATTAAAGTGGAAGAGAATAACACTTTGCATGCTATAAACGTGAAAACTAACATTTTTGGCCAGACACAGTGGCTCATGCATGTAATTCTAGCACTTTGGAGGCCAAGGCAGGAGGACTGCTTGAGCCCAGGAGTTTGAGACCAGCCTGGGCAATGTAGCAAGACCCCATCTCTATATAAAATATAAAAATGTTGGCTGTGCACGGTAGCTTATGCCTGTAATCTCAGCACTTTGGGAGGCCAAGGCAGGCAGATCATGAGGTCAAGAGATCAAGACCATCCTGGCCAACATGGTGAAACCCTGTCTCTACTAAAAATACAAAAATAGCTGGGCATGGTGGCACGCACCTCTACTCCCAGCTACTAGGAGGCTGAGGCAGGAGAATCGTTTGAACCCAGGAGGTAGAGGTTGCAGTGAGCTGAGATTGCACCACTGCACCAGCCTGGCAACAGAGCAAGACTCCGTCTCACAAAAATGAATAAATAAAATAAAAATAAAAATGTTACTTTTTAAAAAGTAACTTTTTTAATAATATAAGAAAGAAAAATGCCCTTTCACACTGAATCTTCAAGTTCTAAGGAAGAAAAGAGTCTCCTTTCGAATGTGAAGAAGTAAATTTAGAGGAAATCAAACAAGCATCACTTTCCTCAGTGGAAAAACTTATGAAACTTCTTATAAGAGAGAGTAATCTCAGGCCGGACATGCTGGCTCATACCTGTAATCCCAGAACTTTGGGAGGCCGAGGCAGGTGGATCATTTGAGCTCAGGAATTCAAGACCAGCCTGGGTAATATGGCAAGAGCCCAACTCTACTAAAAATACAAAAAGAAAAGAAAACAGCCAAGCTTGGTGGTATGTGCCTGTGGTCCCAGCTACTGGGGAGGCTGAGGTGGGAGGATCGTTTGAGCCTGGGAGGCAGAGGTTGCAGTGATCAGGAATTGTGCCACTGCACTCCAACCTGAGTGACAGAGCAACACTCTGTCTTAAAAGAAAAAAAAAAAAGAGAGAGATAGTAATCTCTTGGGCAAAAGGTATCAAATAATTGAAAGAAAAGTTTAAACACATTTCCGAGAGGCAGGGCAACTAATAACTGGTCAGAAAAATTTAGACGGTCTTCATTTTAAAATTGGCATCAGGAAGGATTACCATGAACTTATTTTAAATCCATATTGTACCAGAATGACTATGTCTGTGTTTCTTAGGAATGTTGAAGCTTTTTGTGAAAACTGTACTGTATACATATATAAATATACACACACTTACATGTATGTATTTTGATAGATATTACATGGACTAAATTTTGTCAATTTCATGTAATTTACCCTTTGCAATAAAAATGATTCATTAAATATATAACTAAATGTGATTTGGTTTTTATAACTGTAAATTTTTAATATAAAAATTCCCAAAATGTTTGTTTGTATTTTCTTTGACATTGAGAAACCTGACACTCATTAGCCACAATACAGGCACTAATTTAACTCTAGTATACATGAAAATTTGCTTCAGAATTGCTAATCCACATACCTAGGAGAAACAGATTTCTAACTAAAGTACAGCATTTTTATCATTCTTTTCATCCCCAATCTTACTTATTCAGTCAACACACTGTTTTCCAAAGTCACTAAAGCCAGTTCCTTCTTCTCTACCCCCTTCACTGTGGTGGGTTTTTGTTTTGTTTTTTAAGAGTTGGGGGTCTCACTTTATCACCCAGGCTGGAGTGCAGTGGCATACTCATAGCTCACTGCAGCCTCGAACTCCTGGGCTCAAGAGATCCTCCTACCTCAGTCTCCCCAGTATCTGGGACTAAAGGCATGCATGGCAATGCCTAGCTTTTTTTCTTTTTCTTTTCTTTTTTTTTTTTTTTTTTTTTTTTTGTTTGGAGATAGGATCTCACTGTGTTGCCCAGGCTACACTGGAACCCTGGCCTCAAACCACCTTCCCATCTCAGCCTCCTGAGTCGCTAGGATTGCAGGAGTGATAGTTTACCAAGTGAATAATTTTAATACAGTTTAGATTCATTTGTCACAATCTGTATCCCATGTTGGATTCTTCCAACATCCTGGATGTTTTTCCTATTTGCATACAGTAAATTCACTCTTTGTAGAATTGTGTAGGTGTTGACATATGCATAGCATTGTATACCCATCACTACTGTACCATGCAGAACAGCCCTATCATGCCAAAAATTCCTTCATACAGCCCTGAGCAACCACTGATCTGGATTTTGTTTCTATTATTTTGCCTTTCCCAGAAAGGGGGAATATTAGAATAAAACTTTTGGTGCTGGATTGATGTCGGAGATATATAGAGAATTCTTACAATTTTATGTTGCTCAGCATCCATTTTGAATACAAGTTTAACTTTCTCATACCAAAGCAGGGCTCAGTCATCTTTGGCACAATTTCCAGTTCTACATTACACCCAGATGGCTCAAGCTGGTGGCCAGTGACAAGAACTTAGAGGGATCTCTCCTGCCTTGCGGACTGCACTCCCTGCTTTCCTGCCTCTCTTTAAATGGACCATTTAGACATTTGCCTATTAAAGTGGCCCACACTCCATTCCCTTAGACATGCTGCTAGACACACTTTCTCTCTGGCTCTTCCTTTCTGCCTCATATGACCTGGGGACAGAGGACTGCCCTCCTGACTCATTATGCCCTCCTTGCCCAGGATCTGTAAGTGAAAATCTTTGAACTTATTTCCTATTGTGGTGATGTACTGAATTTGTGCTTTCCATCTGAAGAACCAGGGGACACCAGGGAGAGCACAAGGTTGAACTCCCAGTGCCAAAGTGATGGTCAGGCAGGCATAAACTGGACATGGATCAGACAAGAGCCACAAGGGCATCTGCCAGTATAAACAAGTTTCCCATGTGAGGGACCCCCAGTCAGGTCAGGCAACTAGGACTTAGGCCATCCTCCAGGTAAAAGAAGTATCCCATGAAAGGCACACTGTAAACACCCACATCCATCTCCCCTTCATATCCTGTTGGGGTAGGGTTGCTAGCTACTCTGATATTGGAACCCCAATTTAGCTGGGGGCTCTCAAAAATAAGGTACCAAGGCCAGGCACGATGGTTCACGCCTATAACCCCAACATTTTGGGAGGCCGAGGGAGGAGGATTGCTTGAGGCCAAAATTTGAAACAAACTTGTGCAACATAGCAAGATCCAGTCTCTATAAAAATTGAAATAAAATAGCCAGGCATGGTGGCATGTACCTGTAGTCCTAGCTACTTGGGAGACTGAGGCAGGAGGATCACTTGAGCCCAGAAGTTCAAGGCTGCAGTGAGCCATGACTGCACCACAGCACTCCAACCTGGGCAACAAAGTGAGACCCTGTCTCTAAACAAATAATTTTTAAAATTTTAAAAACAACATATGAGTGTAAATTCATAATTTTAAAAATATAGATACAGATACATGGATACAGAAATATAGATATGTGTGTCTACATAGGTTAGTACATATATGTGTGTGTATATATATATATATATATATATATATATATGTCTTTGCTGACAGTATCTGACACACAAAAGACTTCACACCCAGATCTTGGTTTCTAAATACCATTCTCTAATAAAAGGATCCAGGGCTTTTAGAGAAGTGATTGAATCCAGGGCTAGGGCAGGCAAAATACAAGATACAGAGTAAGGTTATACTAAATTAAATATAAATAAAAGTGGGCTGGGTGCAGGTGGCTCACGCCTGTAATCCCAACACTTTGGGAGGCCGAGGCGGGCAGATCACCTGAGGTCGGGAGTTTGAGACCAGCCTGACCAACATGGAGAAACCCCATCTCTACTAAAAATAGAAAAACTTAGCCAGACGTGGTGGCAGGAGTCTATTATCCCAGCTACTCGGGAGGCTGAGGCAGGAGAATCGCTTGAACCCAGGAGGCGGAGGTTGCGGTGAGCTGAGATGGTGCCATTGTACTCCGGCCTAGGCAACAAGAGCAAAGCTCTGTCTCTAAATAAATAAATAAATAAATAAATAAATAAATAAATAAATAAAATGAGGACATTCCAAAAAGACACAGGAGCCAGGTTGCCCTGGCCTGGGCAACAAGAGCAAAGCTCCGTCTCAAAATACATAAGTAAATAAATAAATAAATAAAATGGGGACATTCCAAAAAGACACAGGAGCCAACCTGACAGAGCTCCCCATGTCAAAGCTGTTACAATTTGAGAAGGTAAGTGTAAACAATTTGAACAAATTACACCTGCCTATACTGATATGAATAAATGAGTGCATAAATAGATGAGGAAGAAGGAATGACTCTTCTTCACAGTAGAACTCCAATTAATAAATGTAGAAGAAATTAGAGAAATATAAAGATCACCATTAGAAAACCACAATTAATTGTTGCAAGCAAGATCCACAAATGACTGCCAACATTTGTTAAAAACTGTAAGAAGAAACAGGGTATTTAGGGAGCCTCAAAGTATCTCCCATAAAATATGTATTAATTGCAAAGAGGGGAAAAAAGTAATTTTACAGTACAGAAACCTAGCTGATATCACCTGAACCAAATGATCAAGGTTAAAATTACTAATAAAAAGACATGTCAATATCATGTTGTACCTCCTGATATAATGTGATATGATGCACTGAGAAGATTATATCACCTCTGCTGTGTTCTTCCCAGAACTTCATAACCTCAATTTAATCAAGAGAAAAACATCACACAAACTCAAACTGAGGGACTTTCCAAACATGTCAAGGTTATGAAAGAGAAGGAAAGACAGAGATTGTCACAGGTCTGAGGAGACAAAAGAACATGACCACAAAATGTTTCATAACATCTTTGATTGGACCCTGAAACAGAATAAGGATATTCATTTTAAAAAGAATGGTAGAATTCTAATAAAGTCTGTCATTTGTTAATAGTGTTATATACAAATATTCATTTCTTAGTCTTGATAACTGTACCTGGTTATGTAGGATGTTAACATTAGAAAAAGCTGGGTAATAGGTACACAGAAACCCTTTGTGTCATTATGGCAACTCTTCTGTAAATCTAAAGTTATTTCAAAATAACAAGTTAAAATGTTTTAAATTCTCAAAATGTTTAAAATCTTTTGTTATACTAAATGTCCCAATTTGGAGTTTGGAACAATTATCACTGTAATTATAGAAAACATTAAAACATACATTGAATAGTTTTTAATGTATTAAGCACTTACATATATATATATATATATATATATATATATATATATATATATATATGTCACTTGATATGGATCATACAGAGCAATGTTCTTGCCCACAGAAGTTAATAATTTAGACAGTCTGTTTCAAAGCCACATTCCAAGCCCAATATCAATGATACTGAAGAAGAGAAATTTCCATCTCATCAAAGTAGTAAAAGATCCTCAAGGTGCTTGATACTGCAGCAATATTTCCTATTGCCTCTGCAGTGGCTGTAAAGATTACGAACTCTGTGGCTAGATGGGTGGATTCGTTTGTTCTTGCACTGCTATAAGGAAATACCTGAAACTGGGTAATTTATAAAGAAAAAAGGTTTAACTGGCTCGTGTTTCCACAGGCTGCACAGGAAGCATGATGCTCCCATCTGCTCAGCTTCTGGGGAGGCCTCAGGGAACTTTCAATCATGGCAGAAGGCAAAGGGGAAGCAGGCACATCTTTCGTGGTAGGAGCAGGAGCAGGAGAGAGAGGACAAAGGTGCCACACACTTTTAAACAACCAGATGTCATGACAACTCACTATCGTGAAGACAGCGCCAATGGAGGGTGGTGTTAAACCATGAGAAACTGCCTCCGTGATCCAATCACCTCCCCCTAGGCCCCACCTCCAGCACTGGGGATTACAATTCAACATGAGATGTGGGTGGGGACACAGAGCCAAACCCTATCAATGGGGAAACAGTGTGGGAGACTTTTTGAGGTCCATACAGTTGTCCCTGGGCTGCAGCATCCCACAGGGGAGGCTTCACCACCAAGGTTTTTACAGTCACAAGCACTCATTTGCTTATGGTATATGTCTTATCAAAATGACAAAAATACTCCTTTTTATTGCCACAGTAGAAGAAAAAAAACCATTAAGAGCTGATTATTTGAAATGGAAAAATGTCTACATGCCAAGAAAAAAAAGATTTTATCTTGCAATAAAGACCTTTTCCTATAACAACAGCTAATGTTTGTTGAAAGCTTTTAATATGCCAAGTCTTGTGCAAAGCTCTTTATATGCAGGATTTCATCTAATCCTCCTAGGAACCCCATGAAGCATTATTATTATGTCCATATTCAAATAAGAGAATTGAGGTGTTGCAAGGTTAAGTAATGTGCCCAAAGTTGCAAAGGTGGGGAAAGATATATCCAGGAATCAAACCAAAGTCTATCTGTCTTTAGAACTGACTTAACCTCTACCATGTACAACCAGCTTTTTTTTTGGAGACAGAGTCTCGCTCTGTCATCCAGGCTGGAGTGCAGGGGCACCTTCTCGGCTCACTGCAACCTCCACCGCCCAAGTTCAAGTGATTCTCCTGCCTCAGCCTTCCGAGTAGCTGGAATTACAGGCACCCATCACCATGTCTGGCTAATTTTTGTATTTTTAGTAGAGACGGGGTTTCACTACGTTGGCCAGGCTGGTCTCAAACTCCTCACCTCAAGTGATCCACCCACCTCGGCCTCCCAAAGAGCTAGGATTACAGGCATGAGCCACTGCGCCCAGCCAAGGTTTCTTTTCAGAGAAGAATTTTCCAGATGATTATGAGTATAGGCTTATTTACAAGATTTAGAATTAGCTAAAAATATTTTTTCAACTTTTTACAAACATGACTAAGGTGAACATATAACGAAACCTTTTATAAACAAATGCATATACCAATTGGGTGGAGAATTGTTTAATTCGCCACATGAGCACTTAGAACATACTGAAACTTTAAATCTTTTAAGCTTTTATAGCCTACCAGTGGAATGTACTAGGAACTCTGTCTTTTTTTTTTATTTTTTTGAGACAGCATTTCACTCTTGTCTCCCAGGCTGGAGTGCAATGCTGCGATCTTGGCTCACTGCAACCTCCACCTGCCGGTTTCAAGCAATTCTCCTGCCTCAGCCTCCATAGTAGCTAGGATTACAGGCATTCACCACCACACCTGGCTAATTTTATATTTTTAGTAGAGATGGGGTTTCACCATGTTGGCCAGGCCGGTCTCGAACTCCTGTCCTCAGGTGATCTGTCTGCCTTGGCCTCCCTAAGTGCTGGGATTACAGGTGTGAGCCACCGCACCCGGCTGGCACCCTGTCTTCTTAATACCAAAGGTGTCAGCATCATTAGCTGCTAGCCAAATGGCAAACAAAACCACTTTACCTACTTGGCCAAGTAAATATTGCGAAAGTAAGGAAGGGATGGAAAAATAAAGGTTATTTAGTCTTAGCTATTGTATTCCTAAAGTAAATATAATCTTGCAAGTCATCATGGGGAAAATAACTAGGGAAACCTAAATTATCCTCCAAAATTCCCTTTGCCTTTCATATTCAATAAAGCCTAACCCTCCCTCACCATCAATAAGTCAGTCTGTCTTTGGTTTGCTTTGGCGGTTGAATAGCTGCTACGTTAGTGGCATATACAAAATGAGAGGGTAGAAGATCAATAGAGAGATTATGTAAGAAAGAAATTCATTACAGTATCTCTTTATAGCACTTCTATTTGCTTATTGACTAAATATTTATGTTAAGCACTGTCTATGTGCCAGGCACTATACCCCAGCTACAGAAAAAAAAAAAAAAAAAAAATGAATGATATATTCCCTGCCCTCCAGTAGTTCAGTTTCCTGGGGGAATGAGACATAAGTAATCAACTGTAATAGGGCTGAACTTGACCCTAAAGGAGTCAAGTGGAGAAAGCACATATTTTTTTCTGTCTGGGAAAGTCAGGATATTGGGGCTTAAAGTATAAGTTGCGGTTCACCAGGCAGAGAGGGACACAAAAAATATTCCAGGAAGACAGAACAGTATGTTCAAGGTGACTACAAGTAGCTCAGCATGATTGCAGTTCAGGTTGCAAGTTGGGGAGTGGCAGGATATGAGGCTGGAAAGGCAAACATAAGCCCAAATGACATGCATAACTGCCTTGTAATATCACACTTACCTTCTCACTGCATTCTAGAACATGTCTTATTCATCAATGTCTCCCTAACTCAATGTGTGCCATGTAATAGGTCCTCAAATAACAGTACATTAACAGCCCGACAATCTTTTTAAATGTAATTTTATGTCTATCATAATCAGTTGTAAAACTAGGTCAACTTGTATTAAGCTGTTAGTTGGCCTTTTTTAAAACTAATGTAATGACTGCCCTCTAGTGGTTATAAAACAATAAACTTTTCTATCAGTCAATGCCAGTAGCTTTCACTCTTTCCAGTAAGAAAACTTAACTAAGGCATGCCCTTTGATATTTTTATATTCTATTGTATTTTATTTTAAAAAAATGTTGGTTACAAGGAATAATATATCTTCACCCACTAATAGCTTGCCATCCAGTTTGACAACGAGTGTTCTCTGAGAACACTTGGTTTAATATATTAACTATGTCATATAGACTATGGTTTATGATTTAATTTATTCTGAAAGTAGATATGATTTAACGTTTTCTGAAATAGTAGGCTGCTTAAGTTTAACAATACAGATAATATAAATAATACAAATAAAATTCCCCATACACTAATACTAATCATACCTACCAAATATATTATCTTTTCTATTAGTAACTTACATACATTTCACATGTATTACCTCAAAAAAGTCTCTACTACAAATCTGTGTTTACTTTCATTCTTCAGAGTTGCAGACTGAATTTCCTCAGTCATAACAAGACTTACAATAAAGTTATGAAATATAGCTTATTGCTATAATAGGAAAAATAAGAAAACATTCTATAAGGTGATAAACAGGGAAACTGTTAAATTATGGTACATTTATATGATGACTATTACACAGCCATTAAAATTATATTTTCAAAGAATATTTAATGAATTAAAGAAATAACAATGATTCGTTGCTAAGTGGAAAGAGAGGGACCTGGAGCTATACTTAGAGTGTCTCAACCATGGGAGGAAATAAACACATCAAGAAAGAAAAGCCAGGAAATTAATGCAATCAAATATCAGGAGTGGTTTCTCTGCAATCAGATTCCAGGTGATTTTCATTTTTTCTTAATACTTTTTTTTTATATTTTTCACACTATCTACATTGTGCATGTGTAACTTCAGAGAAGTCCAAAAAAATTAAAAGCAAATGAAATTGTCTCCTTTGATAAAAGTGTACACATGAAAGAGAAAGAATGCCCCTCAAAGTCTGCCTTTCCAGATGTCCTGTGTAGCTGAATTACAGACCCTGTAACAGATTTTCTATACTGGAGGATGAGTTTGCTTGTCACAAAAGCATCTTCCAGGGTATTCCTTATCTACAAATATTCGTAAAAGGAGGCCTGGACCTTCAGAATCAGAAGATGAGTAGGTATAATTTTGTGTTATCTCCTGTATATAAGTATCAGTCAAAACAAACTCTCCAAGAACTTTATCTTGGAAAGGTTACATCAGTCTGAGTTTTGTTCCATTGGATGGCCCTTTTTTTTTTTAATTTTTTTAAAGAGATGGGGTCTTGCCATGTTGCCCAGGCTAGTCTCAAACTCCTGGGCTCAAGCAATCTTCCTGCCATCCAGGCCAGGCACAGTGGCACTTTTGACTGCAAAGTATGAAAGCACTAAGAGTATTGCTCTACAGAATGGTAAATATGATATGCAATTTTAAATTAATTTATATTAAAAGGTTGCCAAAGTTATCAATGTTGCTTATATTTCCTAAAATGGATTATGACCTAAACAATATTTATGAACACCTAAAACTCATTAAAAATCTCTTTTCCATTTTTAATATTTTATCCTCATATTTTATTGTATATGCAGTCGTTGTCATAATGCCTTTCTTCCAGAGATTTTTTACAATGCCTTTTTTTAAAGATTAAGTAGAAAACTTTCCAAGAATTTCAAATAATTTTAAAGAAAGAAATTTATACATCAGCCACTCCATCTAACTCTTCATATTAAAGATGAAATCCAAGTACTTTTTAAATGACATTAGTTAAAGCTTCCAATGTCCACGGAAATAAAACTAGTATTTTGCCTTTTTGGTTTCTCCAGCCCAGCAAAGAAAGAATGAAAAAAATATTTGCAGAAAGTGAGAACTTTGTAAGTTACTGCATTGATCAGAAATCAATTCAAAGCTATGTAATACGTATTCACTCAATACAACTTTACTGAGTACCTCTTAAATCATCTCTATGCTTGGGACCAGGGACTCCAATAGAGATCAAATACAATCCCACTAATCAAAACATTTAGCCTATGAGATCTTAAAGACCGGCAAACAGGCAATTACAGCAAAGTGTGAGTGAACACAGATTATAATGAGATTGCCTAGAAGGGCCATCTAATCCAGGACTTGGGCTGTGAAGGCAGGCTTTCTGGAAAATGTGACTACCAAAGTGAGGGCTGAAGGATGGGTTAGACAAGCAAGGATGGAAGAGGATGTAATTTCAGGCATTAGAAACAGCATGTGTCAAACTCAGCCTGCTTTGCCCATACTTCATAAATCTCCAAATCAAACAGGGCTTTCAGGCAAGAGAGCAATTGGAAGCATTATTATACCTCTGCTCTTTCCTGAAGCCCTACTTAAATCACAAGGATTAAAAAGGACAGATAGCAGCCAGGCACGGTGGGTCATGCCTGTAATCTCAGCACTTTGGGAGGCTGAGGCAGACGGATCACCTGAAGTCAGGAGTTTGAGACCAGCCTGGCCAACCTAGTGAAACCCCGTCTCTACTGAAAATACAAAAAAATTATCCAGGCGTGGTGTCAGGCACCTGTAATCCCAGCTACTCGGGAGGCTGAGGCAGGAGATTCGGTTGGACCCGGAAGGCAGAGGTTGCAGTGAGCCGAGATCGCGCCACTGCACGACAGCCTGGGCGACAGAGTGAGACTCTGTCTCAAAAAAACAGAGAAAGAGATACCCTAGATGTCTCAATTGTTGTAAGTAATAATAAAATAAAAGGAGGGAGTACAAGACAAAGAGAAAACAAGGGAAGACAGCGCCAAAACTTGGAAGGTTAGAAAGCAGGTGATGAAGTGGTAACTGATTTAGATAATCAAAGAAAGCTAAAACCTATGCTGGCAGTAGGGGAAGCCTAAAGCAAGCCAGTCTTTCCTGCAAAACCAGAAAGGCCCAGGTTTGAAAGTCATCCGGTAGTTCTGCAAACTGGGGGTAAAGGTAAGACTGAAACAGTAATGATTAGTTGGAAGTCTGTTAGACAAACAGTTAAACCCCAGATCCAAATGTCATGCAAGACAGCTGGACCACTCTCCTTCTTTTGCCAAAGCAGGAACATTTAACTTTAAAACTATGAATAAACGAGAATTTCTTTAACCCATTAGAAGGCATTTAGTGGTTGCTGAGGGCTTGCTGCTGAGATAGTCCCGTCAGGACCTGAGGAGTCTTTCCCCAGCTGACAGGAATGTCGGCGGCTGACAGCTCTCAGCTGAGTCACTCTCCAGGCATTTCCCGCAGGCCAAGAGACTCCTCACACGGGGCCACACCCAGTCCCTGAGGGCCGCCCTTATCCAATGCCTGGTTGATGTGGGGCATGAAGTCCTGGCCCCTTTGCCTCAAGGTAGGTCCGTTTTGAAAGGCACGACTGCACACCAGCAAGAAACGACCAAAAAAAAAAATTTGTAACTTTTTAAAAGATACCATTTACAAAAATAACCAAATTTAAAATGCCAACTCTGAATCTTTAAAAAGATATGCAAGCCTTTTCTGGAAAAAAGATTAAAATATTGAAAGACATTTTAAAAGATTTAAATAAATGGATGTATATACCATATCCTTGGATTTGAAAACTCAATATCATGTCAGTTCCTCCCATTGATATTAAACATTCAATGCAATTCCAACTAAAACACTCAAGGCCTGTTTGTGGAATTTGACAAGATGATCTAAAAATTTATGTGAAAGAGGAAAGAACAAGAATAGCCCAGATACACCTGTGTCCGAAGACTAACGTGGAGGTACTTGCCCTATCAAATAACAAGACTTTTTGTTTTTCTCTCCTTTTTTTGACACAGAATCTTGCTCTGTCACCCACGCTGGAGTGCAGTGGCACTATCTCAGCTCACTGCAACCTCCACCTCCCGGGTTCGAGTGATTTTCCTGCCTCAGCCACCCAAGTAGCTGGGATTATAGGCATGCACCACCACGCCAGGCTAATTTTTGTATTTTTAGTGGAAACAGCATTTTGCCATGTTGGCCAGGCTGGTCTCAAACTTCTGGCCTCAAGTGATCCATCAACCTCAGCCTCCCAAAGTGTTGGGATTACAGGCGTGAGCCATGGCACCCAGCAAAAGCTCTTATAATTAAGATAATGTGGTACTGGCACAAGATACATATAAAAATCAATAAAGTACATATTAAAAATCAAAATACATATAAAAATAAATAAAAACTCTTGCAAATAAACCTGATTTACAGCAAAGCAGGCGTTGTATCAAGCTACAATAGCTATGGTAGTTATGAACACGCACCGCTCAGATTTCCTTTCAAGAGATAACCTGCGCAAAAGAGACTGTTGGCTGACAGCCCCTACCTGCTGTACCTCCTGCATCCACCATGGTGTTCACATCAATGCCTTTCTCCCCGCAGACTGTTCCCAGTGACTGAACATTGTGGAAGACTGTGGAAAATTGTGGGTGTCCCAGAAACAGACAATTCTTAACCAGTGAGGGACTTCTCTGGTGGATAGTCTTTACATATGGGTGCCTCAATAGGCCTGGGCAAGACTTCCTTTTTCAGAGCTACTTCTTCCTTCCCATGCTCTTTTCACATGTGTCAGACACACATCATAACATCATAACCTTTATCCTTCACAGGTGTTTCTTCCCAATAAATCTCATACACCTCTAATTCCATCTTGAGATCTGCTTTTCAGAGGAACTTAACTGACATAGTTGGTACCAGGAACAGTCCAAGAAAGCAGGCTAAAAGGTGGAGATTGGGGATGGAATCACTGAATGGCAAGGAAAACCCCATGCTGAGTGGAGAGTGGGTCACAGATTGTCCCTGGCTCAAGGTAGTGGCTCGACTGCCACTATTTCACAGGTGATGACCTGGGGAAACATTCCCTGAGAAAAACAGGCTTGCCAATTCAAGAATCCAGGCATTTAAAAGATGCAGTGGGACTAACACCTGCAAAGACAGTAGCTAGTTATTACTAAGTTGAATTGAAAACCTTCAGAGTGATGAGAAACTGAGAGCAGTTAACAACTAAAGGTTAAGTATGAGAGCCAGGATGCACTTGCGGTGGTATTGCTTACAAAGAGATCCTTATCACCCTGCAGTGGAAGAGAGCTCAGCTGCGGGGCAATCATAGGACTTAGAATAAGGAGCTGCAGAGGCATTTATCAGGCAAGGCAGATCTGTCACAAAAAGACCAGAGCCCTGAAACATCTGGGTGGGTAGCCCCAAGAATTCCTGGTCACTGGATTCCCAAATCGGTGCCTATCTCTCCTACCATTAGGAGACTGCAGGAACCAACAAGATCTCAGTGATGCTGCTGCCTCTTCCTGCAGATCCTTCTTGCAGATCCTTCAGACCTAGAACTTCCCCAGCTGTATTGGGCTGGGATTTAACACTAGTTATCTGCTTGTCAGCAGACGGAGGGTAACTGTGAGGGGTTTCTGGCTGCCTTGTGGTGGAAAGGCCTCAGTAGGGTCTTCTCAGGTGGAGTAAATGCTAGCTCTTAACAAGGAGTAGTGAGAGAGGGGCACTGATATCACGAAGAACTTCAGTGGTGGCTCTGCTCTGTAGGCCAGGACTGAAGGTATGAGAGGAGATCAAGCCTCCTCTATTACAGAGCTGGGCTCCTTAATTGTAGCGAGCATGATGAGCCCCCAGAGTAAGAGAGACCAGGTAACTGCCAGAAGCCAGGGGCCACAGTTACTCTAAAAACCAGCAAGGTTAAAGAAGCAGCAGAGGGGGCTTGGTTGTCAGGCAGTTGTAGAAATGATGAATATAATTTGGAGTTTCTAGGGTCCAAACAAGTTGGCACCCTACAAGGGTACTACTTAACATCTACAATCAAAACAAGTAAAGAATGGAGGAGTAGGTAGCTTAGGACAGTGGTCCCAATAAAAATTATAATATCTTGCTCAGTTTCCAGACCTGAGCCTTTTTATTTAAGACAGAGTCTTGCTCTGTCGCCCAGGCTGGAGTGCAGTGGCACGATCTCGGCTCACCACAACCTCCACCTCCTGGGTTCAAGTGATTCTCCTGCCTCAGCCTCCTAAGTACCTGGGATTACGGGCACATGCCACCATGCCCGGCTACTTTTTTATATTTTTGATAGACACAAGGTTTCACCATGTTGGCCAGGCTGGTATCAAACTCCTGACCTCAAGTGATTCGCCCACCTCGGCCTCCCAAAGTGCTGGGATTACAGGCATGAGCCACCGCACCCGGCCTGAGCCAATTTTTTTTTTTTTTTTTTGAGACGGAGTCTCACTCTGTCGCCCAGGCTGGAGTGCAGTGGGCGCCATCTCAGCTCACTGCAAGCTCCGCCTCCCGGGTTCACGCCATTCTCTCGCCTCAGCGCCCCCGGAGTAGCTGGGACTACAGGCGCCCGCCACAGCGCCCGGCTAATTTTTTGTATTTTTAGTAGAGACGGGGTTTCACCGTGTTAGCCAGGATGGTCTCGATCTCCTGACCTCGTGATCCACCCGCCTCGGCCTCCTAAAGTGCTGGGATTACAGGCGTGAGCCACTGCGCCCGGCCCCTATTTTTAAACTGAAACCCATTAAATGATAAGATGGCCGGGTCTCCAGGAAGAAGGACCCTGCAATTCCCCCAAGAAATATATACTGCAAAGATTCCCTCAGTCGTTGTCTTAAGGGACCTATGGTCATTTCTGTGGGAATACACTGAGGAAAGGGGAATAACCAAATATTTGAGGACTACTGAAGCGGGATCTTGGGCCATGATGTTCTTAAGCTACTAGACGATACGATCTACTAAAACAAGGGAGTAAACCAAGAAAACAAAGATAAGAAATCTGAGAGGCAAGAGAGCTGCAGTGGCCATGAGAATGCACTTTGCAGCCCTCCAGCTACGGAGCATAACTGATCAAAGACCTTAGCTGAGGTGCTCTGAAACCCATCCCAGCCCAGAGGATAGGTTCTCAAAGGATGCAGAGCAACAAGGAAAAGGCAAAACACAAACAGAAATCCCCAGGGTGACGGTAAAGGAAAAATTCAGCTGTGCGGCAAGCCTACAAAGCAACCAGTCAAGACAAGTACAGAAGGAATGGCCACAAGAAGATAAAATTGATAGGAAATCTACTAAGTTTGAGTTACTAAGAGGATGTGTGCAATCTGGAAGAGAAAGAATTAGTGATAAATTACGTAGAAAACTAAACAGAAAAATCATAATTTGTATGACAACCAAAACAAAAATGTGAACAAGGAATAATAAATATTCATAGTATACTAGATGACAACAGCAAAAATTATATTTAGTCATAATAATGCAAATGTTCAATATTGATCTAACAAAAATTAATAAGAATTTTAGTAGGCTGGGAGAATGGGAAGTGTGAGGGAGACAGGTAGAGAATATACTAAGAGGTTAACAGGTAATATATGAAACAAATACCAAGAATGACAGGATAAGCATGTTATTTAGAAATATGGAAGTAAATACTATAAGAAAAAGCTAAAAGAATATTATCTAGGGAGAAGAAATGGAGAGGGATACTGCTAATTATTCCATAATAATAAGACTTGTATTTTATGTTTAAGCTATCTGTAACTTTGATAAACTTTAAATTCAAAATAATTATTGAGCAATACATTTTTGGTTTTTTTGTTTTGTTTTTTTAAATAGAGATGGGGGTCTTGCTATGTTGCTTAGGCTGGTCTTGAACTTCTGTCCTCAAGGAATCCTCCCATCTCAGCCTCCCATAGTGCTAGATTACAAGAATGAGCTACCACACTGGGCCAAAAAACAATTAAAATGCTTTTTTTAAAGCAATGAAATTGCAATAATTTGACAATAATATGTGAATATACAGAGTTTTAAGAAATTAATAAAAGTCAAACACCACAATTAAACAAATGATTCATAAAATAACTAAAAATGTGAATAACAATGTATTGTTGACATTTTATCTCGGATTTTAAAAAATGAAAGTTAAAAAAAAGGAGACCATTTCTAGATACACACATACTCAAAAGAATTGAAAACATATATCTACACATAAACTTTTACATAAATATTCATAGCAGCATTATTTATAATAACTAAAAAGAAGAACTAACCCAAATGTGCATCAACTGATGAATGGATAAATAAAATGTGGTATATCCACACAGTGGAATCTTATTCAGCAATGAAGAATAAAGTACTGATATATGCTACAGTATAGATGCATCTTGAAAACATTAACATCATGCTAAGTGAAAGATGCTAGTCACATATTGTATGATTCCATTTATATAAAATGTCCAAAACAGGCAAATCTACAGAAGCAGAAAATAGATTAGTGGTTGCCAGCGGCTAGGAAGAGGAAACAGGGAATAACTGCTAATGGGTATAGAGTCTACGTCAGGTTATGAAGTATTCTAAAATTAGTGGTGGTGGTTGCACAACTCTACAAATGCGTTAAGAGCCGCTGAGTTTTATATACTTTATAAGGGTAAATATTATGGTATGTGAATTATATCTCACTACAGCTGTTATAAAAAAAATACCAAAAAAATTAAAAATATAAAAACAAAGAAATGAGAAAGGCAGAAGAAAATAGTAAGATTAAAAAAGAAAGAAACAAAAGAAAAATAAAAAAACAATTCAAGCAAATGCATGTCATGGTTAATTTAGTCAAAAAAGTATAGAGATTTTTGTTCATGGGAGGGTCACACACTGAAATTCATGTCTCAGATTTGAACACAGTAAGTGTAAGAGTCATATTCCTTTTGTTGTGAAATTTCTGTATACAAAATATTCTATTTGGCAGAATAATTGCCACCAAAAAAAAGTACAAACAGCTCAAGATAGTGGATATATATACATATATTTAAAGGGCTAGGGTTTAGAATAAAAACATGTTACAAATCTATTTCATCAACATGGAGAAGTAGAACTGTTTTCTCCTTGGCTTGAGAAAAAACAAAGAATAAATGGGTTTTCTTTTGTCTTTTTTAAGGAAAAAAGCTATTAAAGCCACTGGCTTAGCAAGTGGATACCATATTTCTAGGAGAATCTAGCTGATCTACCCTAATGCAAAATATTTCATCGTTATTTATTTAGATTGCTTTCTAAATGTACGTACTGTCTGAAGTGAGTAAGGTTTTCAAACAGCTTTTTGCCAAATGAATTGGGAAGGCAAAAATAGCATCAAAGACCGAAAGATGCTTTAAGAGCATTACAAGAAAAAACTTGGAAGGTGTGCACAGCTAGGCAGCCAAGAGGAACTTTAATACAAATAAATCATCAGCCAAAAGTATCATTTTAAATGGGAGAGAATGAAATCAGCCTCTTCCATAAAGCTAACTCATCACTTTCCAGTTTATTTCCATGACAAACCAGCTAAAAATTACATGAGATTTCATTGACTACATTAGTTTTTAAATTATTTTTTAGTCAGTTTTATAAGTCAGAAGTAAACAAAAGGTAATCTCCTCCCAGAAGCAACTGCTAAAGTATTGATCCTGTATAGTGGTTTCATTAACACATATTTGTTCTCAAAACAATTCTTAAATAGTTAATGTAACTTTTAAATAATTTG
Organism: Homo sapiens; assembly: GCF_000001405.40. Classification (NCBI taxonomy): domain Eukaryota; kingdom Metazoa; phylum Chordata; class Mammalia; order Primates; family Hominidae; genus Homo; species Homo sapiens. The sequence goes on from NC_000011.10 coordinate 102,017,562, forward strand.
TATAACTTCATCTTTCAGCATGGCTACCTAAAGAAACATCAAATAAAACATTATTCATTTTTGAGACAGGGTCTCATTCTGTCACTCAGGCTGGAGTGTAGTAGTGTGATCTCAATTCACTGCAGCCCTGGCCTCCCCGACTCAAGTAATCCTCCCACCTCAGCCTCCCAAATAGCTGGGACTACAGATGCCCGCCACCACACCTGGCTAATTTTTATATTTTTTATAGAGATGGGATTTTGCCATGTTGCCCAGGCTGGTCTTGAACTCGCAGGCTCAAGTGATCCACCTGTCTTGGCTTCCCAAAGTGCTGGGATTACAGGCATGAGCCACAGCACCCAGCCAGAATATATTAAGTTTTTGGGTAAAATTCAAGCTTCCTAGTAATGAATTTTGTTGATATGCCTTTTTTCCCCTATTAAAACAATCCAATAAAAATAACTTCAGTGAAGGTTGAATTAATGTATATAATCCAACAATGAATTTTCCCCTAAAGGGAAAGATGAGAAGGCTTCAGTTAGATCTTCAGTCAGTTTTTATTGAGGACCCACCTTATGTCAAGTCCTCATAAATTAAGGTACTACAGATAATTTTTGAAGTAAACAGTCGTGTGCAATCATGAGCAGCTTTTGAACAAATTACGGTAATAATAACCACAAATGACTGGATACTTACCATGTGCCAGGCACTCTGCGGGGCACAGTACATGATAATCCCATTTCATGCTCTCAAAGCCTTGTAATGTAGATAGAATATTGTCCTCTTTTAAAAAGATGAGAACAGGCCAAGTGTGGTTGTTCACGCCTGTAATCCCAGCACTTTGGGAGGGGCCGAGGCAAGCAGATCACTTGAGGTCAGGAGTTCAAGACCAGCCTGGCCAACATGGTGAAACCCATCTCTACTAAAAATATAAAAATTAGCTGGGCGTGATGGCAGGCCCCTGTAGTCCCAGCTGCTTGGGAGGCTGAGGCAGGAGAATCCCTTGAACCCAGGAGGTAGGCTGAGATCACGCCATTGCACTCCAGCATGGGCAACAGAGCGAGACTCTTTCTCAAAACAAAAAACAAAAAACAAAAAAAAAAACAAAAAAAGATGAGAAGAGTGAAACAGAGAGAGGTCAAGAAACTTGTCCAAAGCCACACAGAAAGCATGGCAGGCTGAAGTTCAAAACCAGGAAATCTGACCCCAGAACACACTCTCTTTCTTAACTCCTTAATGCTCCTTCTTGAAACTCAGAATGAATTTTCCTGTGGAATCACATTGTAACTGTAATTAATTTCACAAGATAGTCCATAAAAGCCTGGAAACATGTCTAGAGAATAGTTTGTAAGTACACAACTGAACTGTAATGACTAATGACCCAGTTCAGACACAGAAGGAATTGGTAGCATAAGGGGTGTTTTGTCTCTTTTTAGCAGCAGCAGCTATTTACCTTGAAAAAATGGTTTTCAAACATTATAAAGCCAAATATTCCTCTAGGCAAATGAAGTCTTACCTAAAATAGATAAGAGTAGAGCTTCTCTGATTTGTTCTGAATGAAGAGGGAGAGGAAAAGCCTCTTTTCTCTATTCCACAAAGTAGACCCTGAGACACTTCCAAAAAATGCTGGATTTCAAGGAAGACAGCCTGAAAACCATTGAAGTAGACAGAAGGATTGTTATAGGCCCATTGGATCTTATTTTCCAAAAATCACAGAACAAAGTATTTTATAATGTTCTTGTAGACAAACTAGAAGAATACAGGTTGCAATACAGTACAGTTATGTGTAACAATAGATCTGTCCATCTAATGGAAGGTTTTTAGTATCGTGCCAGAGGACTTTGTATCGGGTCCAATTCCATTAAGCATTTTTTATCAATAAATTGGATGAAGTCCTAGAAGCTATGCCTAGGACACAGAAATGAAAATGGTATAAAATCATCACCAAACATAGTCAAAGAATGAACTGCAAGCACTTCAGAAGTATACATTTTTTTAATGCTGAATATTTTCCACAGAAATCCTTTTTGGTGAGACCTAGAGTGCAAAATTAGACCCTTGAAGGAGTAAGGCATTCAAGACCTCATCTTATCCTTAATAAACCCAAAAGTTAACTCATCTCCATCCTTGCACAGTTAACCTTCCAGGTATGACTCCCCCATCCACTCACCTACCCACACAAGACAGCAGTAATGGATTGCTTACAAGATCACAAAGAATGATAAAACCAAAAGAATAGAAAACTAAACTTCAAAAAGTGGGCCAGGCATGGTGGTTCATGCCTATAATCCCAGCACTTTAGGAGGCCAAGCTGGGTGAATCACTTGAGGCCAGGAGTTCAAGACCAGCCTGGGCAACATGGCAAAACCCCATCTCTATTAAGAATACAAAAATTAGCCAGGCATGGTGGTGCGTGCCTGTAGTCCCAGCTACTCAAGAGGCTGAGGCACGAGAATCGCTGAAATCCAGGAGGTGGAGGTTGCAGTGAGCCAAGATGGTGCCACTGCACTCCAGCCTGGGCAACAGAGCAAGGCTGTGTCAGGAAAAAAAAAAAAAGAAGAAGAAGAAGAGGCCAGGTGTGGTGTCTCACACCTGTAATCCCAGCACTTTGGGAGGCTGAGACGGGCAGATCACTAGGTCAGGAGATGGAGACCATCCTGGCTAGCACGGTGAAATCCTGTCTGTACTAAAAAATACAAAAAATTAGCCGGGCGTGGTGGCGGGCACCTGTGGTCCCAGCTACTTGGGAGGCTGAGGCAGGAGAATGGCGTGAACCCGGGAGGCGGAGCTTGCAGTGAGCCGAGATCCCGCCACTGCACTCCAGCCTGGGTGACAGAGGGAGACTCCGTCTCAAAAAAAAAAAAAAAAAAAAGGGGGAAAGAAAAGGCCAAAGTGAACTCCAAACTAAATGTTCTAGAAACAGATATTAAAACCAGTGTGAAGAGCCAAGGTGTAAAAACCAGGGAGACAGGTGATAAATGATTCATGGGTCACAATAGTGTGGGCCAGATCTTCTTTTGTTTTGCTTATATAAACTTTGCTGGATCAGCCAAGTTTAAACGTCCAACTCTGGAGTTGAAATAGACAAATTCTTTCCAAGGTATAGTAAAGTGAGTATTTTCCTGGTTAACCCAATGGGAAATTGTAATAAGTTCCAGGCTATTCTTAAAGTGCAGAGATAGTCACATGACTGCTCTTTCAACCCCTAAGCACTCTTCCCAATATACTGATTACCAACTGACATTGGTGTCAAAAGCAGTCTAATGCTTTTCTAATCTATTTAGTTTTCCATCTCAGATTAACAGAGCCAGATATGAGTGTGGTGTCCAAGGCATGGCTTTAGCCAGCTAGTTTATGATGCCAAGAAGT